>NW_025791775.1:0-34400 GCF_000001405.40 Homo sapiens
CTGGACGTGAGCTGCTGAGACGGCACCCGCGTGAGTGTCGCAGTTTCCACACCGTGAGCTGCTGAGACGGCACCCGCGTGAGTGTCGCAGTTTCCACACCGTGAGCTGCTGAGACGGCACCCGCGTGAGTGTCGCAGTTTCCACACCGTGAGCTGCTGAGACGGCACCCGCGTGAGTGTCGCAGTTTCCACACCGTGAGCTGCTGAGACGGCACCCGTGTGAGTGTCGCAGTTTCCACACCGTGAGCTGCTGAGATGGCACCCGCGGGAGTGTCGCAGTTTCCACACCGTGAGCTGCTGAGACGGCACCCGCGTGAGTGTCGCAGTTTCCACACCGTGAGCTGCTGAGACGGCACCCGCGTGAGTGTCGCAGTTTCCACACCGTGAGCTGCTGAGATGGCACCCGCGGGAGTGTCGCAGTTTCCACACCGTGACCTGCTGAGATGGCACCTGCGTGAGTGTCGCAGTTTCCACACCGTGAGCTGCTGAGACGGCACCCGCGTGAGTGTCGCAGTTTCCACACCGTGAGCTGCTGAGACGGCACCCGCGTGAGTGTCGCAGTTTCCACACCGTGAGCTGCTGAGACGGCACCCGCGTGAGTGTCGCAGTTTCCACACCGTGAGCTGCTGAGACGGCACCCGCGTGAGTGTCGCAGTTTCCACACCGTGAGCTGCTGAGACGGCACCCGCGTGAGTGTCGCAGTTTCCACACCGTGAGCTGCTGAGACGGCACCCGCGTGAGTGTCGCAGTTTCCACACCGTGAGCTGCTGAGACGGCACCCGCGTGAGTGTCGCAGTTTCCACACCGTGAGCTGCTGAGACGGCACCCGCGTGAGTGTCGCAGTTTCCACACCGTGAGCTGCTGAGACGGCACCCGCGTGAGTGTCGCAGTTTCCACACCGTGAGCTGCTGAGACGGCACCCGCGTGAGTGTCGCAGTTTCCACACCGTGAGCTGCTGAGACGGCACCCGCGGGAGTGTCGCAGTTTCCACACCGTGAGCTGCTGAGACGGCACCCGCGTGAGTGTCGCAGTTTCCACACCGTGAGCTGCTGAGACGGCACCCGCGTGAGTGTCGCAGTTTCCACACCGTGAGCTGCTGAGACGGCACCCGCGTGAGTGTCGCAGTTTCCACACCGTGAGCTGCTGAGACGGCACCCGCGTGAGTGTCGCAGTTTCCACACCGTGAGCTGCTGAGACGGCACCCGCGTGAGTGTCGCAGTTTCCACACCGTGAGCTGCTGAGACGGCACCCGCGTGAGTGTCGCAGTTTCCACACCGTGAGCTGCTGAGACGGCACCCGCGTGAGTGTCGCAGTTTCCACACCGTGAGCTGCTGAGACGGCACCCGCGTGAGTGTCGCAGTTTCCACACCGTGAGCTGCTGAGACGGCACCCGCGTGAGTGTCGCAGTTTCCACACCGTGAGCTGCTGAGACGGCACCCGCGTGAGTGTCGCAGTTTCCACACCGTGAGCTGCTGAGACGGCACCCGCGTGAGTGTCGCAGTTTCCACACCGTGAGCTGCTGAGATGGCACCCGCGTGAGTGTCGCAGTTTCCACACCGTGAGCTGCTGAGATGGCACCCGCGTGAGTGTCGCAGTTTCCACACCGTGAGCTGCTGAGATGGCACCCGCGTGAGTGTCGCAGTTTCCACACCGTGAGCTGCTGAGATGGCACCCGCGTGAGTGTCGCAGTTTCCACACCGTGAGCTGCTGAGATGGCACCCGCGTGAGTGTCGCAGTTTCCACACCGTGAGCTGCTGAGATGGCACCCGCGTGAGTGTCGCAGTTTCCACACCGTGAGCTGCTGAGATGGCACCCGCGTGAGTGTCGCAGTTTCCACACCGTGAGCTGCTGAGATGGCACCCGCGTGAGTGTCGCAGTTTCCACACCGTGAGCTGCTGAGATGGCACCCGCGTGAGTGTCGCAGTTTCCACACCGTGAGCTGCTGAGATGGCACCCATGGGAGTGTCGCAGTTTCTACACCGTGAGCTGCTGAGATGGCACCCGTGTGAGTGTCGCAGTTTCCACACCGTGAGCTGCTGAGATGGCACCCATGGGAGTGTCGCAGTTTCTACACCGTGAGCTGCTGAGATGGCACCCGTGTGAGTGTCGCAGTTTCCACACCGTGAGCTGCTGAGATGGCACCCGTGTGAGTGTCGCAGTTTCCACACCGTGAGCTGCTGAGATGGCACCCATGGGAGTGTCGCAGTTTCCACACCGTGAGCTGCTGAGATGGCACCCGCGTGAGTGTCGCAGTTTCCACACCGTGAGCTGCTGAGATGGCACCCGCGTGAGTGTCGCAGTTTCCACACCGTGAGCTGCTGAGATGGCACCCGTGTGAGTGTCGCAGTTTCCACACCGTGAGCTGCTGAGATGGCACCCGTGTGAGTGTCGCAGTTTCCACACCGTGAGCTGCTGAGATGGCACCCATGGGAGTGTCGCAGTTTCTACACCGTGAGCTGCTGAGATGGCACCCGTGTGAGTGTCGCAGTTTCCACACCGTGAGCTGCTGAGATGGCACCCGTGTGAGTGTCGCAGTTTCCACACCGTGAGCTGCTGAGATGGCACCCATGGGAGTGTCGCAGTTTCTACACCGTGAGCTGCTGAGATGGCACCCACGTGAGTGTCGCAGTTTCCACACCGTGAGCTGCTGAGATGGCACCCGTGTGAGTGTCGCAGTTTCCACACCGTGAGCTGCTGAGATGGCACCCACGTGAGTGTCGCAGTTTCCACACCGTGAGCTGCTGAGATGGCACCCGTGTGAGTGTCGCAGTTTCCACACCGTGAGCTGCTGAGATGGCACCCGTGTGAGTGTCGCAGTTTCCACACGTGCATCATTGCTGTGTAAGATGCTCAAGTGAGAGGAAGCTGGTGAACGGGTCTGTGGGAAGTTGCAGTACTGTCTTTGCAACTCTTCTGGACATCTTTTTTTTTTTTTTAAATAAAACATTTTTAACATGAAAATATGCAGAGCACGGTGGCTCGCACCTGTAATCCCAGCACTTTGGGAGGCCGAGGCAGGTGGATCATGAGGTCAGGAGTTCAAGACCAGCCTAGCCAACATGGTGAAACCCCGTCTCTACTAAGAATACAAAAATTAGCTGGGCGTGGTGATGGGCATCTGTAATCCCAGCTACTCGGGAGGCTGAGGCAGGAGAATCACTTGAACCCGGGAGGCAGAGGTTGCAGTGAGCCGAGATCGCGCCCCTGCACTCCAGCCTGGGTGACAGAGCAAGACTCCATCTCAAAAAAAATAAAGGAAATATGCGTCGTTGGATGCTGTATGACAATCAAGCTACTTATAACAAACAAAATTGAGAATGAAGGTAAATTAAAAATAATTTATAGTCTTTAAAAAGCAGGAACTACAAAATTTACATTTCTGAAAATGGCAGAAAAATCCCACATGGCTGTATATGTATGTGTGAGATTGTGTATGAATGAGCGCATGCATATATTTTTGTGTGTTTGGATTATATGTGTGACGGTGTGCATGAGTGTGTATATGATTTGGGGGTATGTGTGAGTGTGTATGACTGTGTGTATGAGTGTGTATGATTTGTGTGTGTGAGTGTGTACATGTATACACTAGTGTGCGTATGATTTGGGGGTATGAATGTGAATGTGTACATATGTATTTATGATCTGAGTGTGTATGAGTGTGAATGTGAACATGTGTGTGTGAGTGGGTATATGATTTGGGTGTGTGCAAGTATGAATATGTATTGTGTGCATTAATGTGTATATTTTGGGCTGTGTATGAGTGAATGTGAACATGTGTGCACGAGTGTATATATGATCTGGGTGTGTATGAGTGAGCATGAGTGAACATGTGTGCATGAATGTGAGTATGATTTGGGTGTGTATGAGTGTGAATGTGTGCACGAGTGTATATATGATCTGGGTGTGTATGAGTGAGCATGAATGTGAACATGTGTGCATGAATGTGAACATGTGTGCATGAATATATGATTTGGGTGTGTATGAGTGTGAATGTGTGCACGAGTGTACAATCGGTGTGTATGAGTGAGCATGAATGTGAACATGTGTGCACGAGTGTATATATGATCTGGGTGTGTAGGAGTGAGCATGAATGTGTATGCACAAGTGTGTGTATGTGTGTATGATCTGGGTGTGTAGGAGTGTGAATACGAACACGTATGCACAAGTATGTATATGATCTGTGTATGTATGAGTGAGTGTGAATGTGTGCATAAGTGTGTGTATGATCTGGGTATGAGTGATTGTGAATGTGAGCATGTGTGCACGAGTGTGTATATGATCTGGGTGTGTGGGAGTGAGCATGAATGTGTATGCACAAGTGTGTGTATGTGTGTATGATCTGGGTGTGTAGGAGTGTGAATATGAACACGTGTGCACAAATGTGTATATGATCCGAGTATGTAGGAGTGAGTGTGAATGTGAACATGTTTGCACGTGTGTATATGATATGGGTGCATGTGTGGGTGTGTTTGTGCAGGTGCACTGGGAGCTTTCAGCATTGAGTCTGTGTGGCATCCAGGCTTTTCTGGATGATGTAGAATCAAACCCCATAATTAATTCCAGTAACTTAGAAATTTTCACTTATGAATACTAAATTCTCCTCACCTAGCAACTGACTGAGCAGGTTGAACAGCACCCTTCGCCGTTCTCCTGCAGAACCCCGTGGAAGGGCCCTGCTTTCTCAGAGTGCTCCTAGCGGTGATGAGGGAGCCCAGCTCATTGCGGTTCGTGCAGAAGGCTGTGTGCCATCTCCGGGACTGCACGGAGAGGCGGAGGCTCAGGCGTGGGATCTGAGCTCAGTGGGCCCTTTAAGGACCGCTGCCTCCTTTCCTCCCTTTGGCATTCAGCATCGACTTACGATGGCTCCCAGTCACAGTCCTTGTCACTGCCTGGCATTACACAGGGCCACAGTCCCTTAACTGAAACACTTGGGACCAGTTGCATTTTGGAATTTGGAATGTTTCTTGATTTCAGAGAGAGAAGAGGGGATGGACTGTTGGGCAGCCCTGATTAACCCTGCAGCGTCTTGGCTCTAGAGGGGCCTACACGGCTGGGAGCGTCTCGGCTCTAGAGAGGGGCCTGCACTGCCGGGAGCATCTCAGCTCTAGAGAGGGGCCTGCACTGCTGGGAAGCCTACACGGCTGGGAGCGTCTCGGCTCTAGAGCCACAGCTGATGCATGGCAACGATGAGCTCTCCTGCTTAGTGCTGATGTGCCTCAGCCCCTAACCCCACTGGTGTCCAGATGAGGAACTTGAGGCTCAGAGAAGCTAGGTCAAGGTGAACACCAGTGTTGAGTTTCAGCCCCAGGTCTACCTGATGCTGCCTCCACATTGACTGAGTTGGCCTGGTCCATTGTGAGGTCAGGTAGAGCCAGGGCCGAGGTGGGGATGCCAAGGTCCCATGCCGCAAAGATGGGTGGGACGGCACAGGAGCCAGTCATCATCCCCAAAGACACAGCTCCGAATACCTCATCCTGAAATCCCAAAGATCAAAATCCCAAAAGTATAAATCTGGAAAAAATAATGTCGATGTTATTTATTTACATTTTTAAAAGGTATGTATTTGAGAAACATAAAAACACAACAGAACATTTCATAGGCCACTTTACACAATAAAATAGGCAATGATAACAGGTATTTTTGCATAAACACTGAGGTAACTAACGACGGCGGCATGGGTGTAGCAGTTATAAGAAGACAGACCATAAAGAAATAAGTCAAAAGAGAAACGTGTACACGTATATCGCTACGGTTACTAATTGTGTGCACCTAGCCCTGTAGCTGTGGTCATCTGAAATATCAGGGATTTTAGACTTGAGGGATTTTGATCTTTAGGGATTTCAACATTCCACATTATGGTGCTTGGGATTGTGTCTTTCAGGATTATGATCCAAACTCAGCTGGGCCTCCCCTCCCTGCCCCAGGATTGTGGAGTGAGAACGTTGCAGCAGGAGAGAACAACGCAGCAAAGCACAGCAGGGGAACCGGAAATGCTCACCTTTTGACAGGGTACTTTTAGTTCTGGGGCCTTATCTTAAGGATATTCCAACATATACAAAAAGATTCATGCACAGAGATATTTACTTTAGTATTATTTACCATAGGAAAAAAGTTGGAAACAATACATTTTATGTTCTGTAAAATGAAAGAACAGTTAAATAAATCATGGCTCTAAGACGACTCCAGGGCTGTGTACGGAAGTTCAGGGACAGAATCAGTTGAGGCTGTTCCACCTGAGCCTAAGGTTCCTCTGCTGTATGTCGGGAATCAGGTGGGGGCCAAGCGAGATCACCACAGTGCAGGCCAGTGTGCAGGGCACAGGTGGGCGCCAGGGAGGGGACGCCGCACAGCCCCATGCTCTCGCCAAAAACGTGCAGCACAATTTGGAAGAAAACGTTTCCATCTGTTAATAAAGAGCAACGGCCTCTGGTCATAAGTGACACATGACCCTTTGCCTGAGTCTTTTTAAATTTTTCCATATGTTCCATATTTTCTACACCAAATGTAAGCTACTTTCATAATCACAAAAACTTAATGGAAAGAGGAGGAGGAGGACGGGGGTGGGGAGTAGTAGCCATGGGTTCGAGCCCTTCCTCTCCGCATGACTTGGATAACACGGTATATTCACACAGCTATTTCCCCATCTATGAACTTCTGAGGTGCTTTTATTAGTTGATGTCTGGGACCCCTAGGAGCTCTCTTTATACCTCATGATATCAAATGCCCACCTTTCCAGCTCCTCTTGGCCTCCTGCCCTTCCTGGAGGGAGATGCGCTCCCTGGAGCTGCTGACTAGGTGGAAGCAGACTGGCTCCTTCAGTGGGTAGGCCAGCCTGCCTGTCTCCCTAGCCCAGTCCCACCGTGCTGGCCTCAGTGGTGGAGGCAGGCATGGAGCCTTGGAGGAACCACTCCTCCCCAGCCGCCACCAACATTTGTGGCACCGAGAAGCACCCGTGCTATTCCGGACAGGGATGGGGTTGGACACCCATGCATAGGGGACCCTACACTCCTAGGCTTGGCTCTGGGCTAAACAGCAGGTGTGGATTTGGGCCTAGGCCTCGGAGAAGCCATCAGCTAGGGCAGAATTCCCATGTGGGCAGGATGTTATTTAGGAATTCCAGGGCTTTCTGTATTCCAGATTTCCTGTATTGTGCATATGTGCGTGCATGTATGTGCCCTCAGCCATGATGTAAAGTGTTTTTCTGGCTGGGGTTGCATCACAGAGTTTGGAAGCCACTGCTCTGCAGATTCTGAGGACCACCTCCCTTATTTCTCACCAAATTCCCATTTCTTCTGTTTTTGTTCCACCCAATGCAAAAAGCATACTGCCTTCTCTTCTGCATTGGTGGGCAGCGGGTCCTGCAGCTCAGGTTTCTCCAGCCAGGGCCCTGAACGTGAGCCTGGTGGCGTGGGCAGGGGGCTGACTCCATGTGGGCCAAAGGCAACCTATCCAGCTCTTCAGAATGGCTTTTCTCTCCTCCCTATAAAACATATTTTCTCTCCTCCCTATAAAGCCTATTTTTGTATTAGGGTGTTTGTTAAAATGAAAACATGAGATCATTGATGCATAACGAGAAGCCGTGTCATTACTTCCCAGGCCCTGTGCAAGGTGCAAATTGGCGTGTTAGTGGCTGTTTGCATCTTTTCAGTTCCTTTCGTCTTTTCTCCTTATCCTGCCCTTTATATGGTTTCTGCTTTAAGTCAAACATTGTGAGTGGATTGATGGACATATGTGTGTGTGAGCGTGTGTGCACAGATGCATGAGAACTGCAGAGAGAGATGGGAGGTAACCAGGGGGATCACTGTTCTCTTCTTCCCAAACATTAGCGTTAGGCTGTTCCGCTTCTGTTCTTGAGAGGGCACCCACATTACTGCTTGGGAGCCTGGAAATGGCCCCACTGAAGCAGCTCTGAGGCCCTGGACACCCTTTTCCTGGTTGTGGCCAGCTGAGTTGTTCATGGTCCTCCCCGTGGGATGTGCTTGGAGCATCTGCTGGTAGCAGAGCCTCAGTTCCTCTCCTGCGTTCTTTCGCTACAGGTGTTAGACCTGCTGCCCACCTGTGACCTGTTTACTGCCAGGGATAGACCTGTGGCCAGTGTGGAAAGCGAGATGCTTTGTCCATACAGCCTGCGGGGCTCAGCCTTCCCGGGGTTGCCCACAGCTAGGCTGGGCCAGGACCCCCAAGCCTGGGAACTTACACCTTTCTCACCTGCTTTCCTAAAGGTGGTTTTCCTTTGTGATCTCTCTCCCTGAACGGCTAAACCACACTCTGAATAGAAAACTGTCTTGAAAACTGCTTTGCACGTACATCTGATAAGGTCCTCTGGAGGGCGACCTCCACTGTCTAGTGGGCGAGGATTGTTTAGCCGCCTTGGCTGAGTCACCGAGCTGCCAAGGGCAGACTGTACCCTGGGCTCACCAGCATGCAAAGATATTTTATTCATTTATTTATTCCATAAATATATATTTATATTATTTATATTTAGAGCCAGTGTATCTCTCTGTCGCTCAGGCTGGAGTGCAGTGGCACTATCTCACTGCAGCCTCAAGCTCCCGGGCTCAAGGAATCCTCCTACTTTGTCCTCCCAAACAAAAATATTTTTAAGGAGCCCACTAGGAGAGTGCTGAGTTTAAAATCTAAGTTCTTGTTTCTTTTTTCTTTTTCACTGATGCATAATAGATGTACATAGTTTCAGGGTACATGTGATAGTTTAATGCATTCATATAATTGTGAAAATCAAATCAGCCTACTTGGAATATCTATCGCCTTAAATATTTGTTTTTGCTTTATGCTAGAACCGTTCCGATTCTTCTCTTCTAGCCATTTTGAAATATACAGTAGGCAATTGCCAACTATGATCTATGTAACACTAGGTCTTATTCCTTCTATCAAACCACGTATTTGTACCCTTCAATCAACTTCTCTTTCTCCCCCTCTCCCCGCTACATTTCCCCACCTCTGGTAACCACGCGTCTACCCTCTGTCTTCACGAGAGCTACTTTTTTAGTAGGTGGGAGAGAACATTCAATGTTTGTCTTTCTGTGCTTGGCTTATTTCACTTAACATAATGATCCCTAGTTCCATCTTGTACAAATAACAGGCTGTCGTTCCTCTGTATGGCTGAATAATATTCCACTGTGTATACACACCACGTTCTGTTTATCCATCATCCGCTGATGAACTCAGAGGCTGATTCCGTATTTTGGCGATTGTGAGTAGTCCCGCAGTAAACATGAGAGTGCAGATGTCTTTACGATATATTGATTTTGTTTCTTTTGACTATAGGCCCAGTTAGTGAAATTACTGGATCATACAGCAGTTTTACTTTTAGATGGTTTTTTTTTTGTTTGTTTGTTTTTTGAGATGGAGTCTTGCTCTGTCACTAGGCTGGTGTGCAGTGGTGTGATCTTGGCTCACTGCAACCTCTGCCTCCCGGGTTCCTGTGTTTAAGCGATTCCCCTGCCTCAGCCTCCCGAGTAGCTGGGATTTATAGGTGCGCACCACCACGCCCAGCTAATTTTTTGTATTTTAGTAGAGACGGGATTTCACCATGTTGGCCAGGATGGTCTCGATCTCCTGACCTTGTGATCCGCCCGCCTCCACCTCCCAAAGTGCTGGGATTACAGGTGTGAGACACCGCGCCCGGCCAACTTTTATTTATTTATTTATTTTTTAAGGAGGAGTCTTGCTCTGTCACCCAGGCTGGAGTGCAATGGTGCGCTCTCCGCTCACCGCAATCTCCACCTCCTGTGTTCCAGTGATTCTCCTGCCTCAGTCTCCCAAGTAGCTGGGATTACAGGGTCGCACCACCACGCCTGGCTAATTTTTTATATTTTTAGTAGAGATGGGGTTTCATCATGTTGGCCAGGCTGGTCTCAAACTCCTGACCTTGTGATCCCCCTGCTTTGGCCTCCCAAAGTGCTGGGACCACAGGCGTGAGCCACCGTGCCCGGCCCCTTTTGGTTTTTTGAGGAGCCTCCATCTGTTTTCCATAGTGGTTGTACTAATCAACGTTCCCACAACAGTGTGTGAGGGTCCCCCTTTCTCCACATCCTCGCCAGCATCCCTTATTCCCTGCGTTTTTGACGAAAGCCATTTTAACTGAGGTGAGAGAAGACCTCATTGCAGTTTTTTATTTGCGTTTCTCTGATGATTAGTGATGTTGAGCATTTTTTCATGTACCTGCTGGCCATTTGTACATCTTCTTTTGAGAAATGTCTACTCAGGTCTCTTGCCCATTTTAAAATTCGATTAATTGTTTGCTATTGTTTGAGCTCCTGGTTATGAATCCCTTTTCAGGTGGGTAGCTTGCAAGTATTTTCTCCCATTCTGTGGGTTGTCTCTTCAGTTTGTTGACTTTTTCCTTTGGTCTGCAGAGGGTTCTTAGCTTGGTGTGATTTCACTTGTCTGTTTTTGCTTTGGTTGCCTGTGCTTTTGGGGCCCTACTGAAAAAGTCTTTGCTGAGAACAATGTCCTGGAGCACTTCCCTAATGTTTTCTTCCAGTAGTTTTATACTTTCAGGTCTCAGTTTTACCTTTAATCCATTCTGATTTGATTTCTGTGTATGGTAAGAGAGACGGGTCTAGTTTCATTCTTCTGCATATCTTTATCTAGTTTCCCCTGCACCACTTATGGAAGAGACCGTCCTTTCGCTCGTATGTTGTTGGTGCCTTTGCTGAAGATGAGCTGGCTGTAAATGTGTGGATTTATATCTGGGTTCTCTATTCTGTTCCACTGGTCTATGTGTCTGTTTTACGTGATTACCAGGCTGATTACCAGGCTGATAGGTTGGCTCATGCCTGTAATCCCAGTACCTTTGGAGGCCCAGGTGGGAGGATCACTTGAAGCCAGGACTTCAAAACCAGCCTGGGCAACAAAGCAGGACCCCATCTCTACAATGTTTTAAAAAATTATTTGGTGCAGTGGCATACACCTGTAGTCCCAACTACGCAGGAGGCTGAGGTGGGAGGATCCTTTGAGCCTAGGAGTTTGAGGCTGCTCTGAGCTGTGATTGTGCTACTGCACTCCAGCCTGGTTGACAGAGCAAGGCCCTGTCTCTTAAAAAAAAAAAAAAAAACTATTGCAAGAGGAGAGAGAGAGACTGAATTCAACTCTCAATACAACAGAGACAAGTGGGGATAGCCAATGAGCAGGGTGAGGGAGGTGATGAAAAGTTGTTGAAAGGAGCTTGGTTAGTTAGCAAGGGTGGGGAAGATTCTCACTAAGGACCTTAGCAGCATTCCTTGCTAGCACTGAGCTCAGCAGGCCAAGGATGAGGCTTCATCAAGGAGAAGGCTCAAAGGAGCCTGAGTGGAGTTTGGTCAAGGAGAGCGTCTTTGTCATCCTTGCAATGACTCATTTTATAGGTAATTAAGTAGGGGGTTCAGACAGGTCAAAGACTTACCAAAAAGAGGAAATTGTGTCCATGTGGCTGGTGGCTCACCCCAGGAACTGACAGTGGCTTACTCTCAGAAACTCAGAGTGTGCATGTCTCTTTGAATCCGTATCTGTGTGTGGGTGGGTGTGTCTGTCTGTGTGCGTGCCTCAGTCTCTTCTGAATTTCTCTCCCAATCCCCGTCTCTCTTTCCTCGGGTTGGTGTTTCCCTCCTGCTGGCCTCTGGCCAGCTATTTCTGGAAGTGTCAGCTGCTCTGTCTTCCTGCCCCTGTCTCCACCATCACGTCTGTGTCTGACTCCCTTTCTTTCCCATACAAAACCCCTAATGCAAGTCCTACTGTTTCTGTAACTGGCCACTGCCTATAACAAATCTTTGCTTAGGTTGTGTTTCTTTGTAGAATAGACTGATGTACTGTGTGCTTGATTTTTACAAGATGAGCACAATACCTTATCTTTCTTCTTTATTAAAAAAAAGGAAAAATCCAAACACAAGATTAATATCTCGTCATGGACTGTGCCCCGCTCGAGCCTCTCCACATGCAGCAGGAAGGAAAGTGGAGGGAGCTGCTCCTTTCCGTAGCCGGGGTGCCCACCCCAACCAGGCTGCCTCTGCCACCCAAGACAGAGGTTCTCTGATAATAATTTGTGGGGCTTGTTTCCAGAGACCACACCTGAAGCTGCCAACTCCCCGGAGGGAAGGTCCTGATTAATGGCCGATGAATTTCTCCTTAAGGCCCTGAAACTGCCTACTCAGAACCAAGCCAGTTTTTCCTGCCTGTCCTGTTTGGGCAGGCAGAGGAGGCAGCTAGAAACCCATTATGCAGGGGATGGGGGTAAGTGGAGGAGGGAGGGGTCGGGGGAGGAGTGGGGAGGAGGAGGAGGGAAACAGGAAACCCCAGGCTTTGGCTATGATGGGGTCAGCCTTTCTACACCATTCCGGGATGCTGGTGTCCACCACTGCTGCCTGGGCACGGGGAACAGAGAATCTGCCTGGTGGGAGCAGACAAGAGGTTCGAGGACCAGAGCTCATCCTCTTCGGTGTGTGCCTGGGAGGAGGTGTAGGTGCAGCCAGTGGGGTATGATTAAAAAGAAGGGACGCGAGTTTAGGGGACAGCCGCCCACGTGCACCAGCTCTCCGTGTGCCAAAATCTTGCCTGTCAGGGACCAGGATCCCACTTCACAGTTAGCAAATAGCAGCTCAGGGACATTAAGCAACTCGCCCAGCATCCCACCAGCAGACAGTCTCGCCTTCAGGGTCGTCTGTGTCTGTTAAAGTCGAGTCTAGTTTCGGGTCTCAGAGCACCTCCCTAAAGCTGCCGTAAACCAAGAATAAAATTCTAAGCCCCACAGCCGATCGCGTGGACCCCGCCTCTGGGCCAAAGGGATTCCAGAGAAACCTGAAGAACTAGTTCAGGCCGTGATGAGGAGGAGTGGGGGCTGGACAGGCCTCATTGTACCCTCCTCCCTTTGGAATTTGGGCAGAACTGACCAGAACCAACATTAAAACAGAGATCTGAAGACTGACAAGGCTCTCTAGCAATAAGATACCAAATTCCAACCTGATTCCAGTGCAGCATCACATGACAGACAGAGGCCATGAAATCAATATTTTACCTCAAAATATATTTCTTTGACATACTTTGAAATGGCCCTGCCAAGCTGTCTCTTGTGGGGGACATTTACATTCTGTAGAGAATCCCTTCCCTTTCCAGGTCTTTCTCTGATCCTGAAGACATTGGCTGAGAGCCTAGCACCTTCTATGGGTCTGAACAGGAAACATTTGCCATCTATTGTCTCTAAGGGTGGCCACCTATGAAACTTCATCTACATAATAAGAACCTTGGTCTGCACAGTCTCTTATCTTAACCCAGACTCTCCTTTCTATTGATAGCAGGTCTGTAGATAATAATTCTTTCAACCAATTGAGAATCAGAAAATCTTTGAATCTATCTATGACCTGTAAACCCCATTACTTTGAATTTTCCTCCTTCCAGACCAAACCAATGCACAACTCCTACGTACTGATGGTGGTCTTACGTTTCCCTAAGTTTCTGCCGACTAAACTGTGCACACGTTCTCAGGACCTCCTGAAGCTGCGTCACAGGCGCTGATCAAAGAACACAACCAAGGTGAGTGTCAATCATTTCAAGAAATCTGTTTGCAAGGTTAAGGACACACCTGAGAAAAGAACAGAGAACCACAGGAAAAACTGTGGTCCGTGCTTTTCCCAAAGATTGTCTGGGGACCTCAGTAAGTAAAGGGGAGAAGTGTGGGTGTTGGGGAAAGGGGAAGAAGTGGAAAAAATGGGTGTGGGTAAATCAGAGGCAAATGGTTGCATTCTTCTGTCTTTGGTCAGCGTTCACTGAATACACATTTTACATGTGATGGAGGTAGAGGCAGGGATGTAGCTTTTTTATCTTTGTGTAATAGCTATCTTATTTAGGAACCAGATGGGAAGCAGGTTTGCATAAGCCAGTTCCCAGCTTGGCTTTTCCCTTTGGCTTAGTGAGTCTGGGGTCCCAGGATTTATTTTCCGTTCTCACAGGTTGTGGTCCTCACATTTGGCTCAAAATATTCAAAATTTTTTCCAGAGTTTGGCCTTTTCTTCAGCACTGGGAATTGTGATCCAAAGCTTTTCCTGATGAGGCACAAAGTTGGAGAAACAAAACGCAAACTAAGCAACAATGAAACAGAACAGAGTGAATCTGCTGTAGCTCAAGAGAGGACGTAGCTGCCCCCACCCCGCATCCCTGGGCTCGGGTTTGCCTTGCTGACCTCTGCTGCCACCTGGTGCCGCACAGAGAAACTGAGGAGAAACCACATCAGTCTCCTTCAGCCTCAGCTTCACATCTGTGGGTCAAGCAACCCTTTCAGAAGCTGTATAATGTGGGAAAGCTTTCCTCTCAGGAAAATGCACACATCCAACTTTGAGAAGATGCCCTTGGGGGTGCTTCAAGGATCCTAGATAATAACCCCCTTTCCCGAACATCCAAGAACCTAAGTTTTTTTTTTTTTTTTGAGAAAGTCTCGCTCTCTCTCCCATTCTGGAGTGCAGTGGCGTGATCTTGGCTCACTGCAAGCTCCACCTCCCAGGTTCAAGCCATTCTCCTGCCTCAGCCTCCCAAGTAGCTGGGGCTACAGGCACCTGCCACCACACCCGGCTAATTTTTTTGTATTTTTAGTAGAGACGGGGTTTCACCGTGTTAGCCAGAATCGTCTTGATCTCCTGACCTTGTGATCCACCCGCCTCGGCCTCCCAAAGTGCTGGGATTACAGGTGTGAGCCACCACACCTGGTCCAAGAACCCAACTTTTAGATCTAGAGTGATGTCAGCATGACATTGATTTCCTGAGGCCCAGGGGTGAAGGAGCTGAGGACAGCAGAGGGGTGAAGGAAGTCAGCTACAGACAGCAGCAGCTGATGCACAGGCCTCCCAGCGCCTGAAGTCACCCGGAATTGGGAAGTGCTCAGAAGCTTACAAAGCTGCCTCGAGGTGGGAACACAACATTAATCCAAGAGTAGATCCCTGATCCTATAAAAATGTACTAGATGCAGTGGGGGCATTTTAAATGAGCAGGGCAGGACAGACAGATAAACAGAAGGACAAACAGTATTGGGATTGGGATAAATGCTCAGCTTTTGCCCAAATCTTAGTGACTTAAGCATCACTTATTTGCTCACGATTCTGTGGCTGGACCATTTGGTTTGGCTCACAGGGCAGGGACTGTGCTGGTCTTACCTGAGCAGACCTGCATGTCTGCGGTCAACTGGGTTGGCAGAGACAGAGTGACTGTCTTCCTCCAGGAAGCAGCAGGTTAACTGGTTGGCAGAGACAGAGGGACTGAGGGACTGTCTCCCTCCAGGAAGCAGCAGGTTAACTGGTTGGCAGAGACAGAGGGACAGAGGGACTGTCTTCCTCCAGGAAGCAGCAGGTTGGCTCTGGTTCCTTCGTGGGGCAGCTGGTCTCCAGGGCAGCAAGAGAGACCAAGCCCCCGTGCACATTCTACAGCCTCTGTGCACATCAGACTTGTTAATATCCCATTGGCCAGTGCAAGTCACACGGCCAAGCCCAGATTAAGGAGTGGAAAGATGGACGCTATCTCCTCCTGGGAGAGGAGGCAAAGGAGGTGAGAGCATTATGTGGCCACTTATGTTTGCAATCTACCATACTTAGCCCTTTGAGAAAAGAATTAACTGAGAAACTTGCTTCAAATAGGGCATTCAGTAAAATGAAGCCCCAATTGAAGTAAAATGCATATATAAAAAATGAAACTGTGACCGATTTTAAGGACAGTATTGGCAAATATTTCTGTGCTCTTGGAGGAGAAGACCCTTATTGGCATGACGTGTCAGAAACCACAATGAAAGAATTATTTTAACTTGCATTCATAAAAATTAAAATTATTCATTAAAAACATCGTGAATGAAATTAAAAGTCAAAATGTAAGCCAGAAAATTATTTACAACATATGTGTCAGGAAAAGACAATACCCTTCAGACTTTGAGAGTTTACATCAGAAAGAAAATAGCAAATGACATGATCCAAACTTGATAAAGGACATGAAAAAGAGCCAGCACTTAGTATGTTTTCTGAATGAATAAGTAGCCAACAGCACATGAAAATGTGTGTAATCCACTTGTAAGCAGAGAAATGCAAATTAAAACAGTAAAGTGTCATTTTCACTTCCTGGATTGGCAAAGGGTTTTATGTATTTTACTGACAGTGCTCAACATTAGCAGTAAACAACAAATGGTGAGTAAATACGAGCTTCGGAACCTCAGGGAAATGATCTCCTTATTTCAACCTGTAGATTCCTTCCTACAACCAGTGTAGAGCAGAGTACCAGGACGGGCCATTGAGCACCCTGGTGTTGAGAGCAAGTGGCCTCTAGTCAGAGTTGGGTCAGGGTCACTGTGAGTGGGCTGCCCCCAACATGAGTCAGCTGTCTAGGACTAGTTTATCTCTGCTTCTCACTTTACTGGTATTATGGGGCAGCTCCTGCTGTCTTCCAATTTGGTGTCTTCCAAATCGGCACCGTCTTTTAAAGTTGAGTTTCTTGTTATTCTCACCTGATATACCTTATTTATCCCACACCCACCCCAATAACATATCGTGCTCAGTGTTATCTTTGAGACAACACTTGAATTTTACTCAGCCTGGCGTGCTCTTCACATGTCTTGTCTAGATCCAGTTCGGACTCATTCTTCAGCCGTGCATCAGTAAATGGGGGCTAGGTTAAACTGTGGTGACAAACAACCTCCAAATTTCAGTGGCTCAAAAATCTTCTTCCTCATTTATTTACATTTCATCATGGGTCAGGTGAGAGGTAGCTCTGTGCTGTGTCATCCTAACACAGGAATCCAGACGGAAGGAGGGACAATCAGTAAGATCCCCATTGCTATAGAAAAGAGAAAAAAGTATGCGGAATAGAACTCTGTTTCTTGGAGATTTCTCCTGAAAAAGTCACATGTTATTTCTTCTCACCTCCATTGGCAAAAAAAAAGTCACGTGGCCATGTGAAAATGTAAGTAGGCGGGATGGAACAGTCAGAATGCATTCATAAAATATGAACTGAAAATATCTGGAGAACAGCACCTATGACTACCACGAATGCCAACATGCATCCCTAACAACCCAGTGCTGTCACCCTCCAAACTTTTTATGTCTTGCAAAGTATTAGAACTTCTTATCTGAAGCCATACCACTCAGAGGGAATGCAAAATACATATTGACATCTCCTTTAGGATGTCCTTAGAGAATTCAAGGAAAAGAAGTTAAATAATTTAAAAGTGCTTTTGGGTACAGCTATTTAGCACTAGAGGGTAAGATTAGACATAGATTGTAAAGATAATAATAGGGTTAGGGATAGGATTAGGATCTGGGTCAGAGTCAGGGCCAGAAGTATGGTTAGAGGTGGGGTCATGGTCAGGGTCGAGATCAAAGTCAGGGTCAGAATTAGGGACCAGGATAGGGATCAGGATTTAGGTTCAGTGTCAAAGTCTTGGGACAGGGTTAGGGTTAGGATTAGAACCAGAGCTTTGTTCTCCTCAGGACCCACCCGAGGACGGGTCACCATGGCTTTGGAGCACCTGGTAGTGTGGCATGTCCACAGTGAAGACCAGAGTTTCATTGTCCTTAAGACTGACCTGGGGAGACGTGGCTGCAGGCCATTGAGGAAGGTGAGGAAAAACTTCCTGTCTGCTCCCCGTGTGCTGAGGAGGGAGCTCTGCCGTGGGCTTTACTTTCACATGTTATATTCCACAAGTCTTGTTTTACAAAAGCATCCCTTCCTTGAGGCTTCGGCTGCTCATCGCTGCTCATCATCATAGCGTGCCATAACATATAGTAAGATTTGGGTTTGTTTCTGGGGAGAGATCTTGGTATAGAGAAAGGAGAAATGCTTAGAGCCACCATCAGGACAGTTGGGATGAAAGTTGGGTATAGGCAGAGGCTGGAGGAAACATGTGCATCCCCTGTAAACACTTTTATTCATGTTTTAATTACTCATTTTTCTTACAGTGTTAAATTAGTAAAGATAGTATTGAAAAATTGAAAAGTAGGCATATTAAAACCTGCAACACTATTTAAGCTTAGATATATTATTTGTACCTCATCAACATTTTTTATTTTGTTGAGAAAGTTTAAGGTTAATTGACAGCATATTTCTAATAGTAGATAGAATAACATCCCTTTTATAAACATTGACATCCTACATTACATGTGTGAACCCTGAAAATCTGAGACAGCTCTCAGATTTTTTAGAAAGTTTATTTTGCCAATCTTGAGGATGTGCACCTGTGATGCCTCCTCAGGAGATCCTGACAACATGGGCCCAAGGTGGTCGGGGCACAGCTTGGTTTTATACACTTTAGGGAGACACGAGAGATCAATCAATATGTGTAAGATGTACATTGGTTCAGTCCAGAAAGGTGAGAAGGCCAGACAGGGGGCTTCCAGGTCACAGGTAGGTAAGAGACAAATGGTTTCATTCTTTTGCATTGCTGATTACCCTCTCCACGTGAGGCAATCAGGTATGCATTTATCTCGGTGATCAGATGGGTGTCTTTGGATAGAATGGGAGGCGGGTTTGCCCTAGGCAGTTCCCAGCTTGACTTTTCCCTTTAGCTTAGTGATTTTGAGTCCCCAAGATTTATTTTCCCTTCGTAAGTGTTCCTATGAGTATTAATTATTCATTGTGTCTTTTATTACACAAATAAGGCACAGATTTTTAAGAAATCATCAACTTCATGGCTACCTATATAGACATAATTACATAGAAGCTCAACTAAATTTGCAAACATTCCAGAGTTTGGGTTTCCAATAATTCTTTGTGATTCTTTAAAAGGTAAAGTATTTTTTCCCATAAAACATAGCAACATTTAAAATCAACCGTAGAATGTCCTGCCATTTTTGTTTCTCTAGTTTCCTCATTTTCTGCAAAGCCTCACTGAGGAAATTGACTTTGAATATCCTTTTAGACTCTTGTTTTAGAAAGCATTGTGGTAAAACATTGAATCATCGTGGTCACAAGTTCTGTTCACATTCTTTCTTTCTTTGAATATTTTTTCCCAGTGGCCAATATTTGATTCTGTTGTATCATGGCTAAAAGGTAGGCATGGCAACAAAATAAAGACAAGAAGTCTTTGGAATAATTGATCCCATCACAATGAATCAATTTGCCATTGGAACATGTTTTTACAAAGTCACTCTTTTGAAAATATTCAGCTATGACTTGAAACAGAGTCTGTATGGTTAATATTTTTCCTGGTCTAAGATGAACAGCATTTTAGAGAATGAACCCAGGACACAACCACAGCACAAGAAAAACATGTGATAATTAAGTTTACACATGTGTGTTACTACAGTAACAGAAAACATGTAAAGAACATTTGATTTATGTATCAGTCTGCACTGTTTAATTTTTTGTGTCATAATTGCTCTTATTTTAAAAAACAGGACTAGTTAACAGTGTCAATTACTAGTAATTCATGGTATAAATAATTAAACAAGGAAGTGTTAAAAAAAGTGTTTTAAATAAAGTTTTATTTTACGTCTTTTTTTTACTTACACAGAAATCGTCAAAAAAAAAAAGAGATTTCCCATGTAGCCGCAACCTAGTTTCCTCTCTTATTAACATCTTCTATCAGTGTGTCTCACATGGCTTATTAATATCTTACATAATTTGCCGCAGTTAATGAACCAATACTGATAGACTGTTATTAACTAAAGTTCATATTTCATTTGGATTCCCTTAGTTCTATCTTACTCTGACCCAGGATCCCATCCAGGATCCCACACGACATGTAGTCATCACATAGGCTCTTCCTGGCTGTGACAGTGTGTTAGGCTTTCCATCTCATGATGACCTTCATAGCACTGAGGAGGATTGGTCAGGATTTTTGTAGAATGTCCCCCATTGTCACTTCATGTTCTCAAGGTGAACTGTCAGCTTTGGTGTTCACTTGGATCATTTGGCAGAGCTACTGTTTGTCAGATTTCTCCACTGTGAAGTTATTTTTCCTCCTTGTCCATACTGCATGTGTTCTTTTGGAGCAAGTCACTATGCAGAGCCCACACTTACGGAGTGAGGAGTTGGCTCCACCTTCTTGATGGCTGAGTGTCTACATCAGTTATTTGGAATTCTTTTGCAAAGGAGATTTCTATGCAACTCCATTTGCTTATTCACCTAGGTATACAAATACAGACACCTAGATAATTACTTTAAGCTTTAGTTATTATTCGACACTATAGCATTATGTTGCACAATTCCTTCCTGTGTTGGCCATCGGTAGCTGTTTTTATTGGCTTTTATTTTTGTTTGATATATTTTAATTTTTTTAGTACTTACTTTCTGATACTTCCAGATTATCCTGGCTCCTATATTTACTGTCCCAGTTCTAGTATCAGACATTTCTTCAAAGAGCCTGATTCCTTTCAGAATGGTGGGAAAACTTACATGTGGCTGCTGAATGCACATTGTATCTTGTCCCTCATTAGCAATGCTAGGAAGCATATGTGCGTGTCTAACCTACCTACACACACCTAATTATAAAGTTTTCTATGTAGAACTGTGTGTATCTATATTAAACTAAGCATAAGTTTACGTTGATGTCTCCACCTCTGATCTACTATCACAGGAATCATTCTAGCCTTCTCGTCTTGCTAATTTGTAACCTCCCACTTCAACAGTGAGAAAGCTGGTTCCCACCATCTGCGACTTATGTAAGTCATTGTTTTACTCCAGATACAGACACTGTGGTTTTACAATTGTTCACAATTGCTTCTGTTGGAAAGAACTTTATAAAATGGAATCCAATAATGAAGTATAGTTCACGTGCCTTCAGCCTACAGATTCTATTCATTTTCAAAGTTTTTACCTAGATTTGTGTCTTAGTCCATTTTGTGCTTCTGTAACAGAATACCTGAGGCTGCGTAATTTATAAGTAAAACAGTTTCATTTGGTTCACAATACTGGTAGCTGGAATGTCCGAGATTGGGCAGTTGCATCTGGCGGGGCCTCAGTCTTTTTCACCTCATGGTGGAAAGTGGAAGGGGAGCAAGGGGTGCACCAGAGATCACATAGCAGAAGTGAAAGCAAGAGGGAAGCCAAGGAAGCCAGACTCTTTTTAATTACCTACTCCTGCAGGAATTATCTATTCCTGTGAGAACAGAACTCACTCACCCCCATGGAGGACATTAATCTATTCATGAGGGATCCGTCCCCACGACCCAAACACCGTCCACTAGGCCCCACCGCCCCACACTGACACAGTGGGAGTCAAATTTCAACATGAGTTTTTGTGGGGACAAACCACATCCAAACCATCGTAATTTATAGCATAAATTCTTTTTCACATGATGTATTCTGTCCTGGGATACTCCACATCCTGAGTAATTTGATTTAATTTGAATAGAGTTTGCTTTAACCATTTGGCTGTAAAATTCTGCATATTTCGACAAATGCATTGTGGCAGATATCCCACTATTAAAGTATCATATGGAATGCCTCAAACCCCCACCCCATGGAGCCAATGGCTTCCCATCTGTGTAGTTTGCCTTCCCCAGTGTCTCATTAAATGAGGTCACACTGTGTGTATCCTCCTCAGACTGTCTTCTTCCACTTAGCAATGTGCATGCAAGATTCACTCATGTCTTTGTGTGTGTTGATATCTTGTTCCTTTCTATGGCTAAATAGTATTCCATTACATGAATGTAGCACAATTTGGTTATGCATTTTGGGGAGTAGAACCTTCCTCTTCTAACTTTGTTCCAGGGTTGGAGACCTTCAAATTAACTGACAATAGATACATTAGTAGGAGAGACAATACTTGGCTTCTTGTTCCCCAAGTATCATTGTGGGACAAAATTCATCAGATGGCAGGATCCAGTTTACAAAGAGGTAAAAATAGCCCAGAAACAAGAAACAAGACTAGAATCTGATAACTCTCAATGGCTATAGTTTTCCTTTAAAAAAATTTTTTTTGAGACAGGGTCTGGCTCTGTCGCCCAGGCTGGAGTGCAAAGGTGCAATCTCAGCTCACTGCAACCTCTACCTCCTGGGTGCAAACGATCCTCCCTCCTCAGCCTCCTGATTACCTGGGACTACAGGCACATGCCGTCATGCCCATCTAATTTTTGTATTTTTGGTAGAGACGGGGTTTCTACCAAAATATTCGATTTTTTCTGTGGCAGACAACATTTATTTATTTATTTATTTAGAGACAGAGTCTTGCTCTGTCGCCCAGGCTGGAGTGCAGCGGTGCGATCTCGGCTCACTGCAAGCTCTGTCTCCTGGGTTCACGCCATTCTCCTGCCTCAGCCTCCCGAGTAGCTGGGACTACAGGTGCCTGCCATCACGCCCGGCTAATTTTTTATATTTTTAATAGAGATGGAGATTCACCGAGTTAGCCAGGATGGTCTGGATCTCCTGACCTTGTGATCCACCTGCCTCAGCCTCCTAAAGTGCTGGGATTATAGGCATGAGCCACTGTGCCTGGCACAACATTTAAAGTAATAATTGGAATTATGACTCATTACTCTATAGTGGCACATAGCATGGATAAGGAGGACATTGACAAACTTCCAGGAATTTTATATAATTTCTGAAAACATAACATTTTACCCATACAAATATAACACAGGGAAGGTTAGGTATCTCTTTTTATTTGTATCTTCTGTATGGTTTTCCTTATAAAAAATGCAACCTACTTTACTTGCGAAACATGCCCTACTTTTCTTGCATGCTTTGCATAGAGTTGTTTCTAGTTATTCTATTATTTCTAGTAGTTTTATTTACATATATTGATTATAATTTTAATACTTAGTAATCTTTTATTTTCCAGAGAAAACTAGGAAGTAGACAGTTATAAACTGTCATATATTAGCATTCTATAGTAGGTTAGAAAATGTATGAATATACCATCTCCCAACATCTAGAGGGATGTGTTTCCTCATAATACAATTCCTCAGTGTGGCAGAAAAAAACATGTTTATTAACGGGCCAAAATATCTTTAGTCTCTCTGTAAAAACAGGAAGCCAAAAGTATATAAACTTGAATTATTTATGTTCAGTAATTAATGTTTTAGTATTGTATCTTATTTATAAATGGTCTAGATATTTAATGCAAATCTTTTACTTAGCTTAACTTTAAGGTTAAAAATTACCAAAAGTACTTTGGAAACTATTCTTAGGCAGATTTACTGTAGACAAATTATTTTTGAAATAATGTTTTTCGCTTTTCACAAGACGGCACCGAAAGCGAAGGAAGCTCCTGCTCCTCCTAAAGCCGAAGCCAAAGTGAAGGTTTTAAAGGCCAAGAAGGCAGTGTTGAAAGGTGTCCGCAGCCACACGCAAAAAAGAAGATCCGCATGTCACCCACCTTCAGGCGGCCCAAGACACTGCGACTCCGGAGGCAGCCCAGATATCCTCGGAAGAGCACCCCCAGGAGAAACAAGCTTGGCCACTATGCTATCATCAAGTTTCCGCTGACCACTGAGTCGGCCGGAAGAAGATAGAAGAAAACAACACGCTTGTGTTCACTGTGGATGTTAAAGCCAACAAGCACCAGATCAGACAGGCTGTGAAGAAGCTCTATGACAGTGATGTGGCCAAGGTCACCACCCTGATTTGTCCTGATAAAGAGAACAAGGCATATGTTCGACTTGCTCCTGATTATGATGCTTTCGATGTTGTAACAAAATTGGGATCATCTAAACTGAGTCCAGCTGGCTAACTCTAAATATATGTGTATTTTTTCAGCATAAAAAAATAATGTTTTTCATAAGAATGACAACTTAATTAGAATCAAATCTATAAGCTTTAAGATTTTACATTTCTAGTAAGTATAATATTAGCTTATTTGACTAGAACTCAAGCAGAATAGGAATTTATGCTTGTTTTATATTCAATAATGATAATTTTGAAGATATAGTTGTTTTATTACACCAAAAATACTATATTAATCTTATTTAACTAAGTTTTATCCAAATCATGTTAACTTAAGAAACATTTGATCAGTTCCTATATTTCTAGGAGTTTGGTGAATATTTATTTATAAATGCTTATTTTTTTCCAAGCCAAGTTAGAATAGAGCACTTTTAGAGGATTTCATAAATGAATTTTGCAATGCTCTCTGGAGTTAAGAAAATATCACATATACATAACATACATTAATAGATATACAAACACAAATAGAGATTTCATAGCTTTCATCCTGAAATTTCAGCCTTGAATCAGGCATAAATATTCTGATGGTTAATTTCAGACATCTACTTGATCCGACTGAGAGACACACATAGCTGGTCAAACACGATTTCAGCCATGAATCAGGCATAAATATTCTGACGGTTAATTGTAGACATCTACTTGACTGGATTAAGAGACACACATAGCTGGTCAAACAAGATTTCAGCCATGAATCAGGCATAAATATTCTGATGGTTAATTGTAGACATCTACTTGACTGGATTAAGAGACACACATAGCTGGTCTAACACGATTTCAGCCATGAATCAGGCATAAATATTCTGATGGTTAACTTTAGACATCTACTTGATTGGATTGAGAGACACACATAGCTGGTCAAACACGATTTCAGCCATGAATCAGGCATAAATATTCTGATGGTTAATTGTAGACATCTACTTGACTGGATTGAGAGACACACATAGCTGGTCAAACACGATTTCAGCCATGAATCAGGCATAAATATTCTGATGGTTAATTTTAGACATCTACTTGACTGGATTAAGGGACACACACAGCTGGTCAAACACAATTTCAGCCATGAATCAGGCATAAATATTCTGACAGTTAATTTTAGACATCTACTTGACTGGATTAAGAGACACACATAGCTGGTCAAACACGATTTCAGCCGTGAAGCAGGCATAAATATTCTGATGGTTAATTGTAGACATCTACTTGACTGGATTGAGAGACACACATAGCTGGTCAAACACGATTTCAGCCATGAATCAGGCGTAAATATTCTGATGGTTAATTGTAGACATCTACTTGAGTGGATTGAGAGACACACATAGCTGGTCAAACACAATTTCAGCCATGAATCAGGCATAAATATTCTGATGGTTAATTTTAGACATCTACTTGACTGGATTAAGAGACACACATAGCTGGTCAAACACGATTTCAGCCATGAAGCAGGCATAAATATTCTGATGGTTAATTGTAGACATCTACTTGACTGGATTAAGAGACACACATAGCTGGTCAAACACGATTTCAGCCATGAATCAGGCATAAATATTCTGATGGTTAACTTTAGGCATCTACTTGATTGGATTGAGAGACACACATAGCTGATCAAACACAATTTCAGCCATGAATCAGGCATAAATATTCTGACAGTTAATTTTAGACATCTACTTGAGTGGATTAAGAGACACACATAGCTGGTCAAACACGATTTCTGGGCATATCTATGAGGGTGTTTCTGGAAGACACTGAGATAACCATGACCCAATGTGGATGGGCACTGATATGGTTTGGCTGTGTCCCCACCCAGATCTCATCTTGAATTGTAGTTCCTGTAATACCTACATGTCGTGGGAGGGACCCAGTGGGAGGTGACTGAATCATGGTGGTGGTTACCGCCATGCTGTTCTCATGACAGTGAGTGAGTTCTCATGATCTGATGGTTTTATAAGGGGCTTTTCCCCTTTGGCTCAGCACTTCTTGTTGCTGCCATGTGAAGAGGGATAGCTTTGCTTCCCCTTCTGCCATGATTGTGAGGCCCCTGCAGCCATGTGGAACTGTCAGCCCATTAAACCCCTTTGTTCTTTATAAATTGCTCAGACTCAGGTATTTCTTCATAGCTGTATAAAAATGGATGAATACAGGCACCATCCAATTGGTTGAGAGCCCAGATAGAATAACAAGGAAGAGGAAAGGTGAATTATCTCCTTCTGAAATGGAAACATCCTTCTTCTCCTGCCCTTGACATCAGAACTTCAGGGTCTCAGACCTTTGGCCTCACAATCAGAGTTACACCATTGGCTTCCCTGATTCTGAGTCCTTTGTATCTGGAGTGAGCCATGCTACCAGCTTTCCTGGTTCTCCAACTTGGAGACAGGCTATTGTGGAACTTCTCAGCCTCCATAATTATGTGAACCAGTTCCCCTAATGAATCTTCTCTCATCTATCTACATATATCCTATTGATTCTGCCTTTCTGGAGACCCCTGCCTAATGTGATTACAATAACTACAAAATTCACTACTTTATATAGAAGACTTGGTTTTTGTCTTTGCCCCATTTTATATTTGTATTATAACTATGTATCTGGAAAATGGAACAAGTTTTTTCTTCTTCATATGAGGGCTAAGGCTTTTTTCTCACCAATATTTTTGGAGATTTTAAAGATTTTCTTTTTTTTTGACATAGAATCTTATGGAGGCTGAGAAATAATTTTTTTTCTATTTTATTCTTCAGCCCCAGGTGTTTGCTTTTGCAGATTCTTGAGCACATTGAGAGCTTCCAAGGCATGGAGTGGGGTGCCTGAAGTTTCAGTGATTATAGGGAGTTGAGAGACTCAACTGGGAAAGGAAAGGTCTAAAAGGAGGCAATTTGGAAAATAAAAATTTTCTCAAAGGAGCCATTAAAGTTGTAAATAATTCTTAGTAAAGTCATGCAAACAGGAAAAGAAGTAGAATTAGTTCCATATTGGTGGAACACATAGTCAGCAGAGGTTGGAGAAGGGAGAATTTAGTGAACTGAGAAGTTCCCATGAAAGCAGCAAGATCAAGATCACAGAGACACCTTGAAACAAAAAGCCAGGAATAACTTCCAACCCAAGAGGAGAACAGAGAGGCCTCAAAACCAAAGCTAGGATAAGAAACTTGTAGCCCAAGAGTTATCTTCCAGACAAAGAAGCCTGAGATTCCAACGCAGCTTCAGAGAGTACTCACTCAAAATGTTACTGAAACTGTAGGCTTTTTAATGACTTAGCCATGCCTGCAAAAGGCATTCCCTAAGGTGGCACAGAAGACGGAGCCCCCATATCCAAAGATAGCCAAGGAGAAAGAAAGACCCCTGTTGCCAGAGCCAGTGGGCAAAGGCAACAGAAAAGGAGACAAGGGTCCTAATGGGGTGAGATCCTTTCGGATTTAGGCTTTTACAAACTCCTGAGAACTGGCAGGTTGACAGCCATAAATGGGGTACCAAACTTTCTACTCATTGGATTACAAGTTCTCAGGCATCCAGAATGATTAACAAAATGACAATTTCTAGGGCTTCTGTGGGAGAGTATGGAAAGGTCTTTTTGAACCTTTTAATGCTGTCAACGGAAGAATGATGAGGTTCATAAATTTGGAAAGGAGACATTTCTTCATTTTTATGCTTATTTTTATTTTTTTTTGAGACAGAGTTTCACTCTTGTTGCCCAGGCTGGAGTGCAATGGTATGATCTTGGTTCACTGCAACCTCCACCTCCTGGGTTGAAGCGATTCTCCTGCCTCAGCCTCCTGATTAGCTGGGATTACAGATGCCCACCACCACACCTGGCTAATTTTTTGCAGTTTTGGTAGAGACAGGGTTTCATCATGTTGGCCAGGCTGGTCTGAAACTCCTGACCTCAGGTGATCCACCCACCTCGGCCTCCCAAAGTGCTGGGATTACAAGCATGAGCCACCCACCCAGTGAGAGATTTATTTTCTATAAAGGGTTGTAGCCTGCAGGGTTGTCCTTCTGACAGGCTGGGAAGCATAGCCTCCAGCCAGAAGCCAGAAACAGATGTTTCAAGGAGGAGGTAAAGGAAATAGCAATTTATGCTGAGTGGAATGGCCAAATAGATTTATTTAATAAGCTCTAGGAGGAGTCATGAATATTTATGGAAGGAGAAATGCATGCACGCACAATTGAGTTTCTTGCTTCTTCATGGGTCCCATGTACAAAAAATGGCAGTGTTAGCATGATCCCAGGGTGGAGTTTTCAGCCCTCTGACATTAAAAGGTGAAGCAGAGGAAATGAAAACTCGCTCTGTGCATCCTCTGTACGCTGGCCAGAACCTCTCCATCGTGGGTGGTCTCTTATCAGGCAAGAAAGGAGAGGTTGATATCAGTGGTGGAGGCTTTGAAAGGGCTGGTTTCTGTTAAATCCTTAGGGAAGAAAGCCTCATCATGGTTAGCAAAGGAGGGGGTATAACGATGTGTATCTTAACCCCATCATCCCATCCTAGCAAAGCTGAGAACTCAGTTTTGAAAGTTACTCTGGGGTCCCCTCAGCCAAGAGTGGGTCTGTTCAGTCAGTTGGGAGCTTAGAATTTAATTTTCATTTATCAATGCTAATGCGAAAGAGTACGCTGTCTTCATGGCAGCTGAATTTGCAAGAAACTCCTTGGATGGGGTTAATGGCAGCTGTATTTTACTGGGAGCTCTGCTTTAATTGGATAAAGTAAGTTCTGGTAAGATTTCTTCTTCTTCAGTATCTCAAATGTTTTCATTTAAATAATCTTTATAACAACTTTTGATGTCTGAGTGGAGTCCCACACAGTCATCTATTGTAAGACTTTCTGATTCCTTTTTTTTCCTTTGGTCATTATGAATAGGGCTTCTGTAAATAACTGCATGGTAGCTTTTGATGGGAAATAACATCAAAGTAGTTGTCAAAATACTTAGGAATGTTATTTTTGGATTGTAAGGTGAGACTTGTTTAGCTTTGGAAAAAAATGCCCAACTTGTAATAGGGGAGGAAAAATAATTTTCTGTTTTTGGAATTCTTAGATGGAACGCTCTGTAAAAAGTGACAGATTAAAATGAGAAAAACAGAAAAGTTTAAAAACATGTATATCTTATGGTTACATGGGATATACTCAGGGAAAAATGAGTAAATCTCCAACAGGTGGCTTTCAATTCAAGCATAAATACTATCTTCAACTTAAAGAAAGAAGATTTGAGGTGCAGTAGTGGGAAGTTAACCAGCAAAAGCACATTAGACAGAGGTAAGGTTCATTATACAGAGTTAAGTCCATGCATTCTCCATTGATAAGACTCTTCAGTGATTTAGTTATCCTTCTCTTCTTGGTGTCGAGAGAGGTAGCTTTTAAATGGTGATTTCCTTTATAGGTGTAAATTTTCCTTACACAAGTAACTTTTACTCTGTTTTCACAACTTCCTTTGTTAGCATTTTTTTTTTCAAAATAATTAGCTTGGAATAATTTTTAAGCCAAAGGGACATATTTTGGGGTTGCATATTCTGGTTTCCTACCATTATATTTTGGGGTGGCATAGTTTGGTCTTATACACTGTGTTCTACTGGCAATGAAAAGAGTTCTTGTTTTTCCTCCAGCAATTTGTCATTTGTTAAAGAGCTTAGCAGTTCTAAGAGATATAGACCAGCTGTGCTATCTTTTTGTGGTTTTCAGTTCTCTAGTATGTTGAGCATCTTTTTGTAGGTGTACTTGCCATCTGTAGATCTTCTTTGATGAGGCGTCTGTTCAGATCTGTGTGCATTTTTAATTGGGCTGTTTAACTTATTGTTTAGTTTTAACAATTTTTTATATATTTTGAATACAAATTCTCAGATCTGTATTTTGCAAATATTTTCTTCAATATGTGGCTTGTCTTTTTGTTCTCTTAACAAGGTCTCTTCCAGAGTATAAACTGTAAATATTAAGAAATCCACATTGTCATTTCTTCTGTGTATATCAACCTTCTGTGTCATTTGTTAAAATTCATTACCAAACGCAAAGGCACATAGCTTTTCCTCTATAGTTTCTTCTAGAAATTGTATAGTTTTGCATTTTTAGTGTAATGATGATTTTGAGTGATTATTTGTGTAAGTTGTAAAGTTTTCGTCTACATGCATATCATTTCTTATGGTTTCCAATTAATCATTCCCTCACTATTTTTGGGAAAGACACAGGATAGTGGGCTCTGTTAGAGTAGATAGCTAGCTAGACATGAACAGGAGGGGGAGCTCCTGGAAAAGGGAAAGTCTGTGAAGGCTCACGTGGAGGGACCACCAAAAATGCATATATTAGTAGCATCTCTAGTGCTGGAGTGGATGGGCACTTGTCAATTGTGGTTAGGAGGGAGAAGAGGTACCTACGCAGAAACACCCTAGAACTTCTCTTGAGATGCCCCAATCATCATTCACTCTGCAATAAAAATGTCAGAATATTGCTAGCTACATGTTGATAAGAAGGAGAAAGGGGACATTCTTAAGAGAAACCTGGCACCATAAGTACAGATTAGGGCAGAGAAAGACATTCAAAAGAGGCAGCTGCAGTAGATACAAACGTGACCGCTGTCAGCCTGCCTGGTATGGCGGGAAGGAGGCTGGTGCCAGAGTGGATTCGGGTTGATCACCACACATGTACCTCAATCAACAGTGAGGAGGTCCCACAAGGCTAAGTGGGGCAAGTCGGGGACCTAAGGCAGTAGCAGGAAAACCAAAGAAAACAGGCGGAGACTTGAGACAGAGGCAGGAATGTGAAGAAGTCCAAAATAAAAATCCCTGCACAGGACTCTTAGGCTGTTATCATGCACTATCAGCCTACTCCTCCCTATTTTTGTACAATAAGCTCTTTACACTGTATTTCTTTTCAATGAAGTTATCTTCCATCTTTGTACTGCCTCTTGGTGAAAAGCTGTCTTCCAAGTTAATAACTGGGACATCAGCTCTCCGCAGTAATAGCTCCTTTTCAGTTTTAATTTGCAGAACTGATGGGGATTAATAACTGGCGCTGTGACTTTAAGTGGTGCAGTAGGCGGCCAGTAGGGGACGCCAGCCGTTACGCCGGGAGCAAGAGGGCCCTGTGTAGTCCCCATCTGCCTGCATGTGGCGTGCAGCCACGACAATGGCAGCAAGAGGGCCCGGCAGTGTGCCCAGCTGCCAGCAGGCGGGTGTGCTGCCACTATAATGTGAGGAAGAGGGCCCTGCAATGTCCCTAGCTGCCAGCAGGCGGCGTGCCACCACTATACTGCGAGCAAGAGAGCCCTGCCGTGCCCCGGCGCCAGCAGGGGGCGCTGGACAGCACTGTAAGCAAGAGGGCCCTGCAGTTGTCCTAGTCGCCAGTAGGGGACGCAATGGCAGAGCACCGTGGGCAAGCTGGTCCTGTAGTGCCCGGCTGCAAGCAGGGGGCGCCCGAAACGGGCTTTTCAGATTACTCAGGTTCCACTCGTCTCTGCGCCGCCGGGGACGTGTGTCTCTGCGCGTGCACCGCGCCACCCCCGCGCTCCCCGCCCGGCGGCGCGCGACTGTGCGACTGCAACACTCCCCGCCACCCTCAGCCCAGCGACGTGCGTCTCTGCGCCTGCGCCGCGCCTCACTCCCGCCCGCTCAGCGACCCCTCCCCTCCGGGGAGGCGCCGGCGTGCGTCTACGCCCTGCGCCGCGTCTCCCCAACAGCGGCGCGCCTCTCTGCGCCTGCGCCGGCGCGCCGCGCCTCTCTGCGCCTGCGCCGGCGCGCCGCGCCTCTCTGCGCCTGCGCCGGCGCGCCGCGCCTCTCTGCGCCTGCGCCGGCGCGCCGCGCCTCTCTGCGCCTGCGCCGGCGCGCCGCGCCTCTCTGCGCCTGCGCCGGCGCCCCGCGCCTCTCTGCGCCTGCGCCGGCGCGCCGCCCCGCGCCCTCTCTGCGCCTGCGCCGGCGCCCCGCGCCTCTCTGCGCCTGCGCCGGCGCCCCGCGCCTCTCTGCGCCTGCGCCGGCGCCCCGCGCCTCTCTGCGCCTGCGCCGGCGCCCCGCGCCTCTCTGCGCCTGCGCCGGCGCCCCGCGCCTCTCTGCGCCTGCGCCGGCGCCCCGCGCCTCTCTGCGCCTGCGCCGGCGCCCCGCGCCTCTCTGCGCCTGCGCCGGCGCCCCGCGCCTCTCTGCGCCTGCGCCGGCGCCCCGCGCCTCTCTGCGCCTGCGCCGGCGCCCCGCGCCTCTCTGCGCCTGCGCCGGCGCCCCGCGCCTCTCTGCGCCTGCGCCGGCGCCCCGCGCCTCTCTGCGCCTGCGCCGGCGCCCCGCGCCTCTCTGCGCCTGCGCCGGCGCCCCGCGCCTCTCTGCGCCTGCGCCGGCGCGCCGCCTTTGCGAGGGCGGAGTTGCGTTCTCTTTAGCACACACCCGGAGAGCATCGCGAGGGCGGAGCTGCGTTCTCCTCTGCACAGACTTCGGGGGTATTGCGAAGGCGGAGCAGAGTTCTTCTCAGGTCAGACCCCGGCGGGCGGGCTGAGGGCACTGCGAGGGTGGAGCTGCGTTCTGTTCAGTACAGACGTGGGGGGCACCGTAAAGGCGGAGCAGCATTCTTCTCAGCACAGACGTTGGGGGTACTGCCTGCCTTTGGGATAACTCGGGGCCGCATCGACGGTGAATAAAATCTTTCCCGTTTGCTGCCCTGAATAATCAAGGTCAGAGACCAGTTAGAACGGTTTAGTGTGGAAAGCGGGAAACGAAAAGCCTCTCTGAATCCTGCGCACCGAGATTCTCCCAAGGCAAGGCGAGGGGCTGTATTGCAGGGTTCAAGTGCAGCGTCAGAACTGAAATGCAGCATTCCTAATGCACACATGACACCCTAAATATAACAGGCATATTACTCATGGAGGGTTAGGGTTAGCGTTAGCGTTAGCGTTGGGGTTGGGGGTTGGGGGGGTTAGGGTTAGGGTTAGGGGGGGGGGGTTAGGGGTTAGGGTTAGGGGTTTAGGGGTTAGGGGTTAGGGTTAGGGTTAGGGTTAGGGTTAGGGTAGGGTTAGGGTTAGGGTTAGGGTTAGGGTTAGGGGTTAGGGGTTAGGGGTTAGGGTTAGGGTTAGGGTTAGGGTTAGGGTTAGGGTTAGGGTTAGGGTTTAGGGTTAGGGTTTAGGGTTAGGGTTAGGGTTAGGGTTAGGGTTAGGGGTTAGGGTTGTTAGGGTTAGGGTTAGGGTTAGGGTTAGGGGTTAGGGGTTAGGGGTTAGGGTTGGGGTTGGGGGTTGGGGTTGGGGTTGGGGGGGGGGGGGGGGGGTTAGGGGTTAGGGTTAGGGTTAGGGTTAAGGGTTAAGGGTTAGGTTAGGGTTAGGGGTTAGGGGTTAGGGTTAGGGGTTAGGGTTAGGGTTAGGGTTAGGGTTAGGGGTTAGGGGGTTAGGGGTTAGGGTAGGTTAGGGGTTAGGGGGGGGTTAGGGGGTTAGGGTTAGGGTTAGGGTTAGGGTTAGGGTTAGGGTTAGGGGTTAGGTAGGGTTAGGGTTAGGGTTAGGGTTTAGGGTTAGGGTTAGGGTTAGGGTTAAGGGTTAGGGTTAAGGGTTAGGGTTAGGGTTAGGGTTAGGGTTAGGGTTAGGGTTAGGGTTAGGGTTTAGGGGGGTTAGGGTTTAGGGTTAGGGTTAGGGTTAAGGGTTGGGTTAGGGTTAGGGTTTAGGGGGTTAGGGTTAGGGTTAGGGTTTAGGGTTAGGGTTAGGGTTTGGGTTAGGGTGGGTTAGGGGTTAGGGTTAGGGGTTAGGGTTAGGGTTAGGGTTAGGGGTTAGGGTTAGGGTTAGGGTTAGGGGTTAGGGGTTAGGGTTAGGGTTAGGGTTAGGGTTAGGGTTAGGGTTGGGTTAGGGTGGTTAGGGTTAGGGTTAGGTTAGGGTTAGGGTTAGGGTTAGGGTTAGGGTTAGGGTTAGGGTTAGGGTTAGGGTTAGGGTTAGGGTTAGGGTTAGGGTTAGGGTTAGGGTTAGGGGTAGGGTTAGGGTTAGGGTTAGGGTTAGGGTTAGGGTTAGGGTTAGGTTAGGGTTAGGGTTAGGGTTAGGTAGGGTTAGGGTTAGGGTTAGGGTTAGGGTTAGGGTTAGGGTTAGGTTAGGGTTAGGGTTAGGGTTAGGGTTAGGGTTAGGGTTAGGGTTAGGGTTAGGGTTAGGGTTAGGGTTAGGGTTAGGGTTAGGGTTAGGGTTAGGGTTAGGGTTAGGGTTAGGGTTAGGGTTAGGGTTTAGGGTTAGGGTTAGGGTTAGGGTTGGTTAGGGTTAGGGTTAGGGTTAGGGTTAGGGTTAGGGTTAGGGTTAGGGTTAGGGTTAGGGTTAGGGTTAGGGTTAGGGTTAGGGTTAGGTTAGGGTTAGGGTTAGGGTTAGGGTTAGGGTTAGGGTTAGGGTTAGGGTTAGGGTTTAGGGTTAGGGTAGGGTTAGGGTTAGGGTTAGGGTTAGGTTAGGGTTAGGGTTAGGGTTAGGGTTAGGGTTAGGGTTAGGGTTAGGGTTAGGGTTAGGGTTAGGGTTTAGGGTTAGGGTTAGGGTTAGGGTTAGGGTTAGGGTTAGGGTTAGGGTTAGGGTTAGGGTTAGGGTTAGGGTTAGGGTTAGGGTTAGGGTTAGGGTTAGGGTTAGGGTTAGGGTTAGGGTTAGGGTTAGGGTTAGGGTTAGGGTTAGGGGTTAGGGTTAGGGTTAGGGTTAGGGTTAGGTTAGGGTTAGGGTTAGGGTTGGGTAGGGTTAGGGTTAGGGTTAGGGTTAGGTAGGTTAGGGTTAGGGTTAGGGTTAGGGTTGTTAGGGTTAGGGTTAGGGTTAGGGTTAGGGTTAGGGTTTAGGGTTTAGGGTTAGGGTTAGGGTTAGGGTTAGGGTTAGGGTTAGGGTTAGTTAGGGTTAGGGTTAGGGTT
>NW_013171803.1:0-82315 GCF_000001405.40 Homo sapiens
AAAACAGTATATTGAGTGGTGGACAGTATTTCACCATTGGTACAAGCAGCACGTGGGCTGACCAGCAAAAAGTATGTTGCCAGAATCTGAATAAGTAGGAGAGGACAAGAGATTTCTGAAAAGACAAAGAGGAGCTTAACTTTTGCAATAAGAATGGCTGTCACAAACTCAGTGGTACGTCTCAGTGGTGCTGCTCATAATCAGTGAAGAGCTCTTAACTCAGGGAAGACCCACCTATTCATGGAGGGAGCCTCGTGGGTAAAGCCAGATGCATAGAATACTGGGTTTCCCTACAGCATGCTTGCTGCTCAAGGGTTAATACCACTAGGTTTCAAAGAGGTCTTGCTGAACGTCCATTCTCTAGTTACCCCAAAAATTATCTGAAGAGGCTTTCCTCCCTAGCCAGAGGATGCTTGTCAAAATTTGGGTAACTTAAAAAACACTTGCATTGCTTACTGACCCAGAGCTTCACCTCTGTAATTAGAATAGCACTTTTCTTTGTTTTCCCAGAGGGCAAAGGAGTTGCCAAGTATTTAGCAATCAGCATCTAACAAGCCCCATGGAAGGAACTATTGATTGGGCTGGAGGAAAAACAAGTACAATCAAGTTTCAGACTAATCATCAGAATTCAACATTGACCAAGTTGTCCTGGAGACTCATTAAAACCCCTCTCTTTGGCTCGGAGTAAGGGAGTTTCTGGGTTTTTGGAGAAGGTCATTGGCCTTATGAAAAACCATGGTTCTGAAATTTGGAATATTTTCTTACTCTCAAGGAACCAAAAACACAGTGAATAAAAATTGTAAATCCCCACAGTAGGTTTTATAATTATAAATGAAAGACAGGGAGAACTTCAGCATTTAACATCATAGCCAGTCCATTCACAGCAATTCCACTATGAATTGTGCATATTTTGGTGTCAATTTTGGTGTGGTTTCTTTTGGCTTGGTAACATTACAGAGCAACCAAGCCTGTTGCCAGATCTCTTTTAGGTACCTAGGTAGACTGTGTGGGACCTCAAGAATGTACAAAATCACCCCAGAAGAAAAAAATGTTGCCATTGTTTCCAGTTTCTAAATGTCTACATTAGTAGTGAAAACTGTTCTTATTTTGAAAAGCTCACAAAACATCCTGGTGTGATAGCAGTGTGTGCTATTTTGAAAATGTAGTTGATGTTGCATTATGTTATTCATATGCAAATCACACCTTTAAAAATAATCTCTAACGTGACAGACAGACCCCCATTGCTTCCTTTATGGCCAGCCAACCTTGGTCCAAGAAGCCAGCTTGTAAAAGGAGCTCACAACCTTTGCTTCGTTCTTTGTAGTGTGAGGCAGTCCAAGCCATGCTATTTTCTTTCTTTCTGGAACTTAAGAGGCTCAGTTTGCCTCGGCTTGAATTGATTGGAATTCATTTTATGATACCATCAAAACAAAAGAGAGAAATTTTTCTACTTATTTCCACCTATTAAGGTTTGTCGCAAATGTGGCTTGGAAACATGCAAAATGAATTACTTCGTCCTGTTGGGAAAAAATGCCATGCTGTTAATTGCATTGCTTTTCTGGCAAGCATATTAGTGTTCAGCAGTAGATATAATTGGAGGCACATTATAAATTAGAGATGAGATGACCACTCTTAAGCATGAGATCTCTAATAGCTTTGGATATAGGTGGTATCTGAATTCTTTTCCAAGGAGAAACAGGAAAGTTGCTAAAAAATGCTGACTGTGGTTTGTTATTGTTGTGAGAATTTGCAAATACTTTCTGTAGTGTTTGCATGGTGATTATGTTACTTTTGTAAGAAGAAATTATTCTTGAAATAACAGATGTTAAAATTTTCAGGACTACTATTATTTCAATTCATCTCCCAGTACCTGTAGTAGCTTCTTGAGATGAGCATTTCTCCTTCCAAAACAAAAAGTATATATAATTGTTATTATGGGGTAGAAGTGTTTCTTTGTTCTGAACTTTTAAATTTGAACTAATTTTAAACTTACAGGAAAGTTGTGAAAATAGCACATAGCATCCTTATACCCCATACCTTGTGACACCCATTGTTGGCATTTGACAAAACCATAGTAAAGTGATCAAGAGCAGGATCTTAACATTGGTGCCATATTATCAACTACAGCATTCATTAAAATGTCACCTATATTGGCAGGGTGCAGTGGCGCATGCCTGTAATCCCAGCACTTTGGGAGGCCAGGGTGGGCAGATCACTTGAGGTCAGGAGGCTGAAACCAGCCTGGCCAACATGGCGAAACCCCATCTCTACTAAAAATACAAAAATTAGTTGGGCATGGTGGCACGCACCTGTAGTCTCAGCTGCTTGGGAGGTTGAGGCAGGAAAATCGCCTGAACCCGGGAGGTGAAGGTTGCAGTGAGCTGAGATCGCACTGCTGCACTCCAGCCTGGGCAACAGAGTTGAGACTCTGTCTCAAAAAAATAAAAAATAAAGAAAATTTTTTTCGAAAAGAATTTCACCTATTTTTTCCATGAAAGTTTATTTTCTTTCTTGGATCCTATCCAGGACTTCAAATTGAATTTAGTTAATATTTCTCTTTCTCTTTAGTCTCCTGTAGTCTGTAACAACTTACCAGTCTTTCTCTTTCATAAAAATATTTCCTTCAGCACCATAGGAAAGGTAAAAAAGAAAAAAAATTTATTAAAGCAAATGTTTTATGTAATCTGGTGAAATATATACGCAAGATCATACCTGTGTGTGTGTTGAGGGGTACACATGGTGACTGAACAGGAAACATTTGAACTCCTTGTTTGCTTTAAGAGAAATATGACAGGGACCTTGCCAATATGTTAATGACATATGACAACTTAGCCTAATTCATCAAACTTTACTAATTCAGATTACTTGAAAAAAGCCACTAAATTTAGTTTTTTTAAAAGAGTCTGAAATTTACTTTAAATTATATTTTGCAAATAGATCAAGTTTTATTCCATTAACTTATGAAACTCTTAATTGATACAGCCTTTCATTCTCATTGTTGTCTAGGAGATCCCATTGAATATATAAGGCCAATTTAGAATTAGCATAAGTATTAGTTGTATGTGGTAGATTATGTCCACTTCAGAAAGTAATTTTCTTCCTTAAATATTCTCCCTAAGAAGGACCTTATCTTTTTTATTCCACTATAAAAAGGTATTGGCTATGCAAAGATAAACCAAAGCCTGAATCTTACCTATATTCTATAAATTTCAAATTAATATCATTCAAATTAACAGGTTTTTATTGTGTCAGAATCTTAAAGTTTTGTTACTAGAATATGATTTTGGAGAGCATTTGAACTATTTATAAACTAATCTACTCTTAGTACATTATCCTCTGTCCTTTTTCCACCACCACAGTCATGTGTATGCAAGAGGATCGTGAGCGTGGTCTGATAGGTAAATGTGGCAGTAATTCTCAACACTTCACCTGTCTTTAAGAATGACTGTTGGCGCAGCATGGTGGCTTACACCTGTAATTCAACCACTTTGAGAGGCCAAGGAGGGAAGATTGCTTGAGCGAGTTTGAGACCAGCCTGGGCAACACAGGGAGACCTTGTCTCTACAAAAAAATTTAAAAATTAGCCGAGCATGGTGATGCACACCTGTACTCCCAGCTACACTGGTAGCTGAGTTGGGGGGATCACTTGTGCCCAGAGGGTTGAGGCTACAGTGAGCCATGATTATGCCACTGCATTCCACCCTGGGTGAGAGAGTGAGACACTGTCTCTGGCGTGTGTGTCGGGGGCGGGGTGGGGGTGTGGAGGGAAGTATGCCTATTAAATGGAGATACACATGCCCCAGTTCCAAAAAGGTTTTTTCCCCCCTTTAATTCTGTTTCAACAGTTCTGGCACTGAGTATACAGCAGTTCAATTCTGACACTAACCATCCAGTTAGTGCAAACCCCACAAGTTGTAAGGCATGGTTGTGGTCCCTAACAAGACTGCCCTTACTGAACATGCCGGCCACAAGTGGTCCCCCTGCCACCCATGCTTCTGACTGACTGCCTACAAATCTAAGGGTTTCTACCTTTGGCTTAGTAATTCTCCAGAAGGACTCACAGAACTCAGGGAAGCACTTACACCTAATTAAAGGAAAAAGCTGAGACAAAATTAATGTAAGTAGAGAGTTTATTTGGGCCAAGCTTGAGGACTGCAACAAGGAGCATAGATTCAAGTTGCTCTGAACATAGACTCCATTAGCAGCAGTTACAAGTGGATTTTTTAAGAATAAAAGGGTAACAGGGAGTGGGCTGATATAAAGTTGTTTATCAGGAATTCTCAATGGTTTACAGAAATAACATTGATTAGTGATTGGCTATCTGTTGTTAAGCTATAGGGTGTGAGTTATAGTGTCTGGTGCAGCATTAGTAGGTTGATTTATGACTACTTGTGGCAACAGCAAACAGTTTTAAGGATGAATATATAGTTAAAGGAGGAAGTAGGATATGATTGCTGTATCATTTTAACATTTCTATGGGCCTGATAATTTAAAAGGTCTCACATTCCTCAGATAAAAGTTCTTTTCTTTTCTCATTGACATTGTTTTTAGGATATTCTATATAAACAATCATATTGCCTGCAAATAAATATTTATTTCTTCCTTTCCAATCTGGATTCCTTTTATTTATTTATTTTTATCTTGCTTGATTGTGCTGGCTACTGAGGATATTTTTAAGAGCATTTTATAATACAGCACAGTGTTAAATAGAAGTAGTGAGTGGGGACATCCTTGCCCTGTTGCTGTTCTTAGAGGAGAGTTGTTCAGTCTTTCATCATTAAGTATGATGTTAGCTACAGGTTATTTGCAGGTGCCCTTTGTTTATTTTTTATTCTTTTATTTCTTAAAAAACAAGGTCTTGCTCTGTCACCTGGGCTGGAGTGCAATGGTGCAATCATAGCTCACTGCAGCCTTGACCTCCAGGTTCAAGCAATCCTCCCAACTCAGCCTCCTAAGGAGCTGGGACTACAGGCATGTACCACCATGCCTGGCTAATTATTTTATTTTTCTTAGAGATGGGGTCTCACTTTGTTGCTCAGGCTGCCTTTGTTAAGTTAAGGAATTTTTTTCATCTCTAGTTTTCTTTAGAAATCATGAATGGATGTTGAATATTGCCCAATTTTTTTTCATCTTTTGGGATGAGCAGATGATTTTTCTCCTTTTTTCTATCAAAAAGACGAACTGCAATTCAATGCCTTTTGAATGTTTCACTAACCTTGCATGACCGTGATAAACACCAGTCAGTTTAAATATTTTGGTTTATACTGTATTATACTTTCTTTATATATTACTGGATTAAATTTGATAGTATTTTGTTAAGGATTTTCATGTTTATGTTCATGAGAGATAATGGCCTGTAGTTTCCTTGTAATGTCTTTGTTAGGTTTTGTTATCAGAGGAAAGTTAACATTATAAAATGAGTTAGGAGATGTTTCCTTCTCTCTCTCTCTCTCTCTTTTACTCTCTTGCCCCTCTCTCACTCTTTCCAGACAGACTCTTGCTCTGTTGCCCAGGCTGGAGTGCAGTAGTACACTCACAGCTCACTGCAGCCCTGACCTCCGAGGTTCAAGCAATCCTCAGTCTCCTGAGTAGCTGGGATTATAGGCACATGCAAGCATGCCTGGCTAATTTTTAAAGTTTTTGGTAGAGACAGGGTCTCGCTATGTTGCCAGGGCTGGGCTCAAACTCTTGGGCTCAAGGAATCCTCCCACCTTGGCCTTCCAAAGTGCTGGGATTATAGGTGTGAGCCACCATGCTTGGTCTCTTTCTCTTTGTATCTAAATAAGTTTGTGTAAATTTGTTATTATTTATTCTTTAATGTAGAATTCAGCAAAGAAGCCATCTGGACCTGGAGTATTCTTTGTGGGAAGGGTTTCAATTTCAATGTCACTATCTTTAATAGCTATGGAACTATTTGCTCTCTTTCTTCTTATGTTGCTTTTGATAATTTACGTCTTTCAAACAATCTCTTCATCTCTTGTTAGTTGTTGAGTTTATTAACCAAAAGTTGTTCACAATATTCCATTATTATCCATTTAATGTCTATAGTATCAGTAGTGATGTCCCTTAGGTCTTCTTCCATTCCTGATATTCATAATTTTTAAAATTATCTTTTATTCATAATCAGTTTTCCTAGAGGTTATCACTTTTTCTCATCTTTTCAAAGACACACCCTTTAGTTTCATTCATTTTTCTTTCTAGAAAGAAAATGAATGAATGAACAACCATTCATTTCCTTTCTTATTGATTTCTAGTCTTTATTATTTCCTTTTCCTCTATTGGAATTCAATTTGATTTCGCTTCTTCCATTTCTTTAAAGTGGGATGTTTGTATCATTGATTTTCTTTATTATAAAAGGATTTAAGGTTTTCAGATTTTCACTTAAAGCACTGCTTCAGCTACATCTCATAAATTTGGTAGTTTACATTTTCATTATTATCCACTTCTGAATATTTTCTAGTTTCTTTTATGATTTCTTCTTGGACTCATTGATTATGTATGCTAGTGTTGTTTAATTTTGTAATATATAACTATTTTTCAAATATTTTTGGTTTTGATTTCTAAGTTAATTTCATTGCAGTCATAGAACATATTCCATATGATTGCAGACATTTTAAATTTAATGAGACTTTTTTATGGCCTGGTGTATAAAATAACTTGGTGAATGTTTTATGTGTCCTTAAAAAGAATGTGCATGTTGCAATTTGGAGTAAAGTATCTGATAAATGACAATTAGATCAAGCTGGTTTAAAGTATTCTTCCAGTTTTCCATGTCATTACTGTGTCTTTGTCTACTTTCCTAGAAAATACTGAAAATTTCTCAGTATAATTATGGACTTTGTTTTTTCCTCCTTTCATACTGTCAGTTTTTGATTAATGTGTTTTCAAATTCTGTTGTTTAGGATTATTATATATGTTGTCTTTAAAAATTGACTCACATTATTATGTAATGATATTATTTATATCTGGCACTATTTCTTGTCATGAAGGTTATTTTATCTGACATTAATATAGCATTCCAGCTTTCTCCTGTTAGTGTCTAAATAGCATATCTTTATACCATTCTTTTACTTTTAACCAATCTGTGTCTTTACATTTAAATTATGTTTGGTTTCCAATAGATAGCATATAGTGATCAGGATTTTATTTTTGTGCAATTATCAGTATGGTTGGATCTCATCTACCATTCTTGCTACTTATTTTCCATTTGTCTCATCTGTTCTTTGTTCCTTTTCACCCCTTTTGCCATCTTTTGATTTGAGTTTTATTTTTAGTTTTTTTAAAAAACATTTTATGTACTCTATTTGCTTAGTAGCTCTATTCCTTTGTTATATTATTGATTGCTCTGGGATTTACTACATTCATCTTAATTTTATCGCAGTCTACCTTCAGATAATATACTACTGTATGTGTAATATCAGTGCCTTAAAACAGTAAACCTCCATTTTCCTCCTCACTCCTTGTGCTATTGTGGAAATGCACTTTATTTCAACATGTAAACCTCACAATGCATTATTACTTTTTTTATACAGGTAATTATCTTTTAAATAAATGTAAAACTGAGTAAAAGGTATTTTTTCCATCCTGCTTTTTATTTTTATGTAAATCTGAGTTTCATCTGATATTGTTTTCTTCAGCCCTAAAAATCTTCCTCTAATATGTCTTATAGTGCAGGCCTACTAATGATAAATTGTTATAACTTTTGTTTATCTGAAAAGTTCTTGATTTTACCTTAATTTTGTGGGATATTTTCTCTGAGTATAGAATTATAGGTGATTTTTTTTTCTATAATATAAACTTATTCACTCATTGCCTTCTGGATTACATTATTTCTAATAAGAAGTCAAAGATGATTCTTATCTTTTTTCACCTGTATCTAATATTTTTTCTCTCTGGCTACTCTTAAAATTTTCTTCTTATCACTAATTTGGAATAGTTTGATTAAGGTATGCATTGGAGTCATTTTCTTTACATGTATCCTGCTTTAGGTTTGTTATGCTTTTTGGATATGTAGATTTATACTTACATAGTTTTTATCAAATTTTATAAATTTTAACCATTATTTTTACAAAAGTTTTCTGTTCCTCCCTGTCTCTCCTTTTCTTTTGGAATGAAAATTGTATGTATGTGATGACCATTCATATTGTTTCAGAAATCACTTAGCCTCTGTTCAATTTTTTCAGCGTGTGTGTGTGTGTGTGTGTGTGTGTGTGTCTGTGTGTTTCAGTTTGGATAGTTTCTATTCTTGTGTCTTCAAGTTCGCTGATCTTTTCTTTCATATTGTCTAATCTGTTATTCTCATCCAGAGAAACTTTTAATTTAGATACAGTATTTTTCAGTTCTATATTTCTTTGTTGTTTTTTTAATATCTTAAGCTTCTCTCAGTTTCTCTTATGTTCATATTTTAAATCCTTGGGCATAAATAAAACAGCTGTTTTTAAGTCCTCATTTGCAGATTTCATTATCTCTGTTATTTCTGCATCTGTTTCTATTGACTGATTTTTTTTCCTGGTTGTGGTTCACGTTTTCTTGTTTTTCTGTGTATCTTGTAGTTTTTTATTAAATACCAAGCATTTATTTTAGTTCTGTATAGAGTATTAAGTTTTATTCTGGCTAGCAGTAATTTGCATGATCCCTCCAAAGCTTGCTTTTAAGTTTGTTTCGGATGGATGTAAGGTAGCTTTTCCTCTATGCGTAGTTTAACCCTTCTATTAAGGCATTCTGGGATCTGTGCACAATGCTGCAGGTGTTCACTGAGTTTTCTTCACTTTTAATGGTCAGAATTTGAATGACTTCAGCTTTCTGGTAGTTTTTCTTTCCCCAAAGGTTGTGATGTGCTCAACAGTTTTGAATCTCAGCTAAAAACGCAGGAGGATTTCTGTAGTTCTGCTCCGTGCCGCTTTCTCCTCTCTAGTACTCTGTTTCTCATATTCCAGTTACCCTGGTATCCTTGTGAACTACAACCTCCATCTCTTCAACTCAGTAGGACTGCTAAGCTCTTTGGTATTCCCATTCCTGTACCACAGACTGGAAAGTGTCTCCAGACAGAAAACTGGGGAGATCACAGGGCTCACTTCATTTGTTTTCTTTTCTTATGTCTCACAGAACTGCTCTGCGTGTCTGAACTATCTGAAAATAGTTGGTTTTTAAGTTTTGTCCAGGTTCCTACTTTTTTACAGTCGAAGGTCAGATCTGGCTACTGTAGTATCATGGCTGGAAGCTGAAATTCTGTTCTTCCTGCAGAGTTTTGTGCCCTGGGTTTTTGTTTTTTGTTTTTTGTTTTTTTTCCTTTTCCCTCTCTCTTTTTATATTTGAAGTCTTTTCTATAATATTCAGGAATTCTCATGTTAATGACTGGAGAATAGTCCTTTGAATGGATATACCACAATTTACATAAGAATCCCCACAATTCAAATAAGAACATAGACCCTCAGTTACACTGCATTAGTATTAATGTACATTTTTGTTATATCCATAGGATAAAATGAAATTACTGTGTCAAAGGAAGGAGATATTTGACTAGCTCTTTGTACAAATTACCATATTGCCGTCTAGATAGATTATTTTAAACCCAAAGGGTCACTGTATGACAGTGTGCATGCCACAGTGATCTCTTTAGTAGTGGATACTCAATTTTTTTTAAATTTCCAATTTAAGTAAAAATTTGTATCTTATTGTTGGAACTTTATTTGGAACTCCATTTATTTTATTATTGCTATGCTTGAATTTGCATGTGTCTTCTGGTTATTTGCATTTGTTAATTTAAATTCTGTCAAGTTAAAATATGTATGTGTTTTATAATATCAAATAGTAGAGAAAATCTTACAATGAAAACAGCCATTCCCTGTCGCACACCTCATTGTTTTAGTCCTATTGCTCAAAAGAAACCAGTTTTAACTCTTTTTAGATTTCTAAATTGGATCTTATAATGTCACAACCTCGGTTATTAATTTGAGATGTTTACTTCCTACTCTTAAGTTAGACTCTTACTCCAACTCTCTGTGTTCCTTCCCCCATCCTCTCAATATAGGTATATAGTTAAATCAATAATGCGTGTTCACATCGCTGTGCCTGTGATATTCTCTGCAGAGCTAATAATCAACTCATTACAGTTCTATTCTTGCATGGTTTTTTTCTTTCCAGAAGCATTTAATAGTTTTTCTCTTCTTCCTGCCATATTTCCCTTTGATTTTCTTTTTTAGCTCTAGGATATTTACTAAGTGCCTTCATTTTTTTTAACTGTTAAGTTCAGGGCATATGTACAGATTTGTTATATAGGTAAACTTGTGTCATGGGGGTTCTTTGTACGGATTATTTCATCACCCAGGTATTAAGCCTAGTACCTGTTAGTTACTTTTCCTGATCCTCTCCGCCTTCCCATCCTTCACCCTCCATTAGGCCCCAGTGGGTGTTGCTCCCCTCTGTGTGTCCATGTATTCTCATCATTTAGCTCCCACTTATAAGTGAGAACATGCCGTATTTGGTTTTCAGTTCCTGCATTAGTTTGCTAAGGATAATGGCCTCCACTTTCATCCATGTTCCTGCAAAAGACATGATCTCTTTCTGTTTTGTGGCTGCATAGTATTCCATGGTATATATGTACCACATGTTTTTTATCCAGTCTATCATTGATGAGCGTTTAGGTTGATTCCATGTCTTTGCTATTGTGAATAGTGCTGCAGTGAACATACATGTCCATATGTCTTTATAATAAAATGATTTAAATTCCTTTGGGTATACACCCACTAATGGGATTGAGTCAAATGGTAGTTCTGCTTTTAGGTCTTTGAGGAATTGCCAGACTGTCTCCCACAATGGTTGAACTATTAAATAATTTACATTCCCACCAGTAGTGTATAAGTGTTTCATTTTCTCTGCAACCTCACCAGCATCTGATATTTTTTGACTTTTTAATGATAGTCTGACTGGTGTCAGATGGTATCTCATTGTGGTTTTGATTTGCATTTCTCTAATGATCAGTGATGTTGAGCTTTTTTCATATTAAAAATATGTTGGCCACTTGTCATTTTTTGAAGTGTCTTTTCATGTCCTTTGTCCACTTTTTAATGAGGTTGTTTTGTTTTTTTCTTGTAAATTTAAGTTTCTTATAGATGCTGTATATTAGACCTTTGTCAGATGCATAGTTGCAAAATTTTTCTCCCATTCTGTAGGTTGTCTGTTCACTCTGTTGATAGTTTCTTTTGCTGTGCAGAAGCTCTTAAGTATAATTAGATCCCATTTGTCAGTTTTTACATGTGTTGCGATTGTTTTTGGTGTCTTCTTCATAAAATCTTTGCCCATTCTTATATTGAGAATGGTATTACCTAGGTTGCTTTCCTGGGTTTTTATGGTCTTGGATTTTATGTTTAAGTCTTTAATCCATCTTGAGTTAATTTTTGTATGTGGTGTAAGGAAGGTGTCCAATTTCAGTCATCTGCATATGAAGTGCCCTGAAGTGTGAGGATCACTTGAGCCCAAGAGTTTGAGGGTGCAGTGAGCTATGATCATGTCACTGCACTCCAGCCTGAGTGGCAGAGCAAGATCCTGTCTCAAAACAAAACAAAAAAAACTTAGATGAAATAAATTTTTAGTAAAAGATAACTGGTCAAAACTGATCCAAGAAGAAGTAGGAATCTGAGTAAGTCTGTAACCATTAAATAAATTGAATCATTAGATAGAATTCTTTCAAGGGAGAATACATCAAAGATTTTAAAACAAGTTTTACCAGACTTCCAAGAAACAGATCATTACAATTTCAACCAGTCTCTTCCAGAGAAAGGAAAAGCAAGGGACGCACCCTACCTCATTCCATTAGACTCGGTTAATAATTCACATTAACAAAAGAGAACATAGATATGATCATTTCAGTAGACACAGAAAAATTATATTACAGAATTTAACACCTGCTCATGATTAACAACCAATGCAGCAGAAGTAGTAAGGGAGATCCCTTATCTTAATAAAGGGTCCTGATAACAATAGAAACAAAACCAGATACCACACAAAATGGGAGGAAGCATCACTTTTAATGATTTTCAGCATTTAAAACAAGACAAGACTCCCAGCTAATCGGGCTTCTATCTCACCGATGTACCCATGGCCCTGTCCGGTGTAGGAAGTCAAGAAAACTATTTTACAATTATGAGGACTGGAAAGGAAGGAACCAACTACTATTATTTGCAGGCCCTATGATAGTTCTAAGACTAAAGTTGTAAGGCTGGTTGTTAGAAATATTGAAAGTATTGAGCAAGGTAACCTGCAAGTATCAAAAACCAGGTTCCAACTGGAGAAAAAGCAATAAAACTATATTAATTTTAGAAACATAAAATGCTAAGAAAATCCAAAAAGAAAACATAAAGGTCTGCAAAAATATTTCACTAACAGCCATGCACAGGGCAGATTTCTGGTCCTAAAAGTAGCTGAATGCACACAGGTTGCTGGTGCTCCTTCATCCGTGGCTTCCCTGCCCCCCATTTCCCAGCCTCCCAGAAGCAGACTCGCTCTGATGGCTTTACTTTCTCTCCCTCTCCTCTGCCAAGACCTGCTCTAGCTGCTCTCACTAGTTGGCTCAAGATCAGAAAAGAATACAGTTATTTTTTTTTTCCTTTCTAAAAACTCCGTGTTTCCTGGAGACCTCTCAGAGTTTCAGTCTCTGGAGTGGAGAGAGAAGTCATCTTGTCTGAGTTCATCCCTAGCTCTCATATTCTTGGTACATTCTTAGGAATAATGGATAGTCTCTCCAGGCTCAGGTAATCCTGTCTGACTTGATCTGCAGCATCGAGTCAACCCTCCTTTCCCCAAGGGAAACGTTCTTCTATTAGAGGATGAGAGCTTCAACATAGCATAAATGTAAAGTAACAAATATACACATATACCATGTGATAAGTTAAATTTCAGAACAATCAGTAATCAACAGATTTAGAGTTAAAATGTAATTTCTCTAGCTCAGCAGTTCTCAATCCAGGGCATTTTTGCCACCTACTCTCCTGCCCTGCCAGACATTTGCCAATATCTGGAGGTACTACTTGTTGTCACTACTTGTAGGGGATGTGCTACTGGCAAATAGTAGATAGAAGCCAGGGATACAGCTCAACAGCATACACTACATGGGAGAGACCTGCTCCCCAACAACAAAGAAATATCTGGCCCAAAATGTCAATAGTGCTGAGACTGAAAAGCCCTGGTTTAAAAGTTATAAATCTAAAACATCATCACAATAATAACAGTGCACATTTTTTGAGCACTTACTATATCCCAGACTTGGTGCTAAGTAAACTGCATACATATTCTCACAGAACTAGTCTTATACCTATTTTATGTATAAGAAAACAGCCTTAGGGAGGTTAAAAAAAATTATGTAAGGTCACTTAGTGACTGATGCATAAAGCTGGAATTCAAACTGGTCTGACTCCAGGACCTGAAATTTTAACTAGGCTAAACTGCCTCCCAAGTTGGGACCAATGCCCTCATTTTATAGATAAGAGAACTGTATGAGATCCTAACGTAGGTTTGTTTCTCTTTCCGTCCTTATAGTTAAATGCTATAATGACTTGGGACAGACTCAGCCCAGAATTATTTTTACACTGCCAGAGAACTGTTTGGTTGAAGACTTACATATCTCTGATTTTACTGCAATCCAACTCAACATAAAATGACCAACCTACAGCTACACAGTACATTCAGGAAGAACTGAGAAAAACCCCCTCTCTCAAACCTTCAACACAAACACTCTCTCTCTCCCTTTCTCTCTCTCTCTCTCACCACTTATCAGTCTTCATTGCACTTGATTCTGCCTCCTAAAGGGGTTCCTTTTTAAGCTACACCTTCTTCTCCCTTCTACCCATGTCTTACTTAGCATTGGCCTGAAAACAGAGCCTGAGATGAGGGTTTGTATGCAGATAGTTTATGTGGGAGGTGGTCTCAGGAAACAGGAATGAGGCAAAGTCAGAGAGGAAGAAAAGCCACTATCAAGATGCGTTTAGTTACTAAGGTTGCCACAGTCGAAGCTCCCATCCTGATGGCTTTAAACCCAGGCGTTTCCAGGCTCCACGTAGGCTGTATAAAGGGCTTGGGGCAGATAATGGAAAAATGCATGTGAGCACTGCATGCTTGAGAAGGGGTGCTTTCAGTGAGGTTGTGTCTGCGCTCACACAGAACTGTCCACCGCAGCTCCAGCTGAATTCAGAGTTAAGCCTAAGGGATGAGAACACATTTCTTCTAAAAAATTTCACCAAGCCCAGAGACAGAACAGCAGGTGCGTAGGGGATTTCTCAGCTAAGCTGTCAATCTTCTGCTTCAGATGACTAGAGAAAGATGTCTTGGTGTGACAGGGATCTGCCATGTATGTGACCAAGTGGCCCTGGGATGCTTAGTGTGCTGCAGACTGTCTCTTGACACACCAGTTCTCCACTTTTTTCTCCCAAAATTATACTGGAACTATCTGGTTTTTCTGTAAAAGTTCTAGATGAATTCAATCAACAAGATGCAATCATTATGGCTCCAGTTCTCGTGGACACTATTGAGGAGGCTACCAATAGGCAGATAACTGAACTGAAATTGGAGGAACATGCATTAAATTAACAAAAGCCAGCATTACAAATCCAGCATGGTGTGATGTCCCACAGCCTTATGCAGAGTGATAAATGCAAACTGCTTATGCCCTGAGACAGGCTAAAAGTGAGAAGCATTGCATGTAAGTGCAATTATGAAGTGAGAGCAATGTCAAATGAGGAAGTGGTAAACTTCTTGAGTGTACCTTATATTGTCTTTTTTAAAAAGTAGCCAACATTTGTTGAGCACTTACCATTCCCATGCATTAAGTCATTTAAGGCTGCCTTGAAAAACTATTGAAGTATTTTAGAAGACATAACAGTGTTTACTTTTAGGGAGGATGGAGGAAATTGGTGGGGAGGGGCTGTGTGAGGCTCTTCTGGGGAACTGGCAGGGTTCTATTTCTTATTTCCAGGTAATGGATACAGAGGTATGCCCTTTTAAATAAAAATACATCCACTTGCTATATACTTTTTTGTAAGTGTGTAATATTTTGCAATTTAAAGAAGGTTAAATTATTGTTTAATGACTAAATGGAAAAATAACTGCTGGAGAGAGAATAATAATGGTGAGAAATTTTTGAGCATTTTATTTGAGTGATCTCATTTCATCTTCACAATACCCTGTAAAGTACATGACAATATTATTATCCTCGTCAGATGAGGAAATTGAGGCATATAGATTAAATTACTTGTCCCAAGTGACACTGCTAGTAGGTGGTAAGGCTTGATATGTAGACATGTTATTTTCACTTTTTAAAGTTTCAGAGCTTGCCTATTAAAGTGAGGTGCTCAATTGCATCTTGGTTTATTCAAAACCTGAGTGAGGTCTGAGCTGACTTAGTCACTCAGACCCAGCCTTAAATCTGCAGAACATTGAAGCCCAGAAATGCCAAGGACAAGGTGTCCCATGGGAAGAAGTCAGCCACCATGTTGTTTCAGAGCCGCTGACACTTTTCTTTGGAAACCTGCGTCTTTTCCCCAGTCTCTTGGATTCTCCTTTAAATTAAAAGTCACTGGTTATTTGTAGCAGTAAAGACAAGAGACCACTTGGTTTCGTTTCTGCAGACTTGACCTAGGCAAGATGCCATGTTTAGTGAGTTTAGGGTTTGGTTTTAGTTGATATCCTTTTCATTGTTTGTTATATCTGGTCATTTTTTGAAACTTGGGCTCTTTTTCAGTAGTGATGTCATATGGATTTGTTTGGGAAATGGGTATCTATGAATAATCTCAGTGGACTATTAATAAGGGGCATGAAATGTCAAATTAAAATACATCCTTGGCTTGTAAAGGGCTAAAATTTGAATTCCCATCACCATCTGACCTGCTTAATTCAACCAAACAAGTTTTTATTTCGCACCTGTTGTGTAACCAGTTAGTACACACTGTAAGTTTCACAAAAAATGTGGTCTCTAGTCAAGGAGCTGGGTTATATGTGAATGTGTGCGTATTTTAAATCCCACTGAGACAGGCTTTTAAAATGGCATGTAACATAATTTACAGTAATTCACCTTATAATTTTAGCCTGCACAGATCACATGACTTTCTCTCTACATTATGTTCATCAGTGAGAGTAGCGCCATATCCATCCATCATCCCCTGGCGATTGTAATCTCCTTCCTTAGCCATCTCCTTTCCTGTGCTTTTATCCCACCTAACGCAGAGCTCTGCAGGTGCTAAGCATGCAACAGACGTCTCACATAAATGAGTGCAACCACACCCTCTCCACTCAACTTTTGCTTTTTACAAGCCGGAGCATAATTTTAAATATTCACGTTGCACACAGAATCTCATATTACTTTCCTCCTTAAATCAATATTTAGTGCTCAATGCTGGTCCTAGAAGCTAGATGGAATCAAATAAGAAATTCAACATTTGGTCTGTTTCTACCGATGAATTAAAGCTTCCGAGAAATATTTTAAACTTTTCTAAAATGGAAATGGATTGTAAGCTGAACGTGTTGATGGGTCTTCTGCTTCCTCCACCGTTCCTGCCAGGAGCACCTAGGCTTGAACATGTGCTATTATTGTTCACATACATCCAGAAGCACCTAGGTTTCATGGATGTATGTGAAGACGGCAGTTGTTCCCCAGTTATGCCTGGGATCCCTTCACATCCTCAGAAAGGCCAGAACTGTACTGACCTCAGGGAAGCAAGGAATCAAGAAGCCACTTGCCTGGGAGTTTTACCCAAGTCCTGCTGTCTTATTAGATAACATCCTCGTGAAGCTTCTCTGTGAGTTCATTGCTCTGAAGCTTGCCCAACCAGGGCCATTTTTTTTTTTTTTTTTTTTTTTTTGAGACGGAGTCTCGCTTTGTTGCCCAGGCTGGAGTGTAGTGGCATGATCTCGGCTCACTGCAACCTCCACCTCCCAGGTTCAAGCTATTCTTCTGCCTCAGCTTCCCAAGTAGCTGAGACTACAGGTGCGCACAACCATGCCCAGCTAATTTTTGTATTTTTAGTAGAGACAGGATTTCACCATGTTGTCCAGGTTGATCTCAAACTCCTGATCTCGTGATCTGCCTGCCTCAGCCTCCTAAAGTGTTGGGATTACGGCGTGAGCCACTGTGCCTGGCCCAGGGCCCTTTCTAAGAAGGGCAGCATGGCGCAGTGGAAAGAGCCCAGGCACTGCAGCTAGAACTACCTGAGTTTGCAACTCTATTTAGCTACATACTAGACTCACTTTTGGATGATTCTTGCGGTGCTCTGAGCCTCAGTTGCCTCATCTGTAAAATGGGAATGATACTACTTCTAATGCTAGGAACTATTGAGAGTTCCTATGAGTCAAAAAGCACCTAGCACATAATAGACCCTGAACAAAGGTTTCATCTCGCCTTATTAGAGGGCTTACGAAAAACCTCCTCTCCTTGTCTTCTCTTTTCAGCCTCTCTCTTTATCTACCTCATAAAAAAAATAGTTTTTTTAAACTTCATTTCTGTTTCTCCCCAAGCATATTTCTCACATGGTGGAAGATAGCAAATTAGGCCTTGTGCATGGTAAGAAAAGCTTCTCTTCCAGAACAATACCCAAACAGAGACTAGCGTCATGTGATACACTTTGGAAAACCCACTGGGATTAATTTAAACTTCTAACACTACTTGGAAAACAGCATTTGGCTTCAGAATTGACTTGAGATTTTTCACGTATAAAGTTTACCAATTTCATGATAATTTGGTCACTTTTCTCACAACATCAGAAAGCTACCGTATAGTCCTACACATACTGACCTCACTAGTGGGAAAATGAATTTTCTCCACATTAGAGGAAGGTGAGGCTCTGTGATGTATGGGGAGTGCTGAGGCTGTTCCCTAAGAAGGCCTCTCAGGGACCCACTAGCCCAGAATAGATGCTGGGGGAAGAGGCCCCCAGAGCTCCCAGCCCCTGCAGCTACAACTCACGTCCCAGGTTTGTTGCTTTTGCATCTCTGCTTCCTACTGAGGAGGAGGTTCAGACCTCTGCCTGTGCTCCAGCAGGTCATCCCTGAAGGGCAGGGCCTGAGAGAGGCTGAGCGGATAAATGCTTCTGCTAAAGCTTTAGCACCTGGGGTCTCAACAGCTCACCTTCAGCTCCAGGAACACTTCCAGCAGAACAGATGTTTCCATGAGAAGCCGACGGGTGTTCTTTTTCCCAGTTACCCTTCCCTGTGTCATTTTCCAGGAATCCAAACTTGTAGAGACAAAGTCTGAGTGGTAAGAGCGTGTGCCACAGATTTTTCCTTGTATGGAAACATCCAACTCAAACCCACCTTTATTTATGAGGGAGTCGCTTCCTGGAGATGCACCCTGCCTGTCACATCAAATCGACCTGCTGGATGAAATACGTGGTGAAGGGGCCCATGGACACATGGTCCGTTAGTTCTGGAAATACCTCTCCTGGTGCCTCCTCTTCTCTGTGGAGAAAACACCTTCCCTTGCCAGTGTCTCAAGAGTTTACAAATATTTTATTCATTCTTGCCACATATGAAGGACTTCCCTCCTGGTCTACAATCTAGCTTTGCAAACTAACTTTTCCTTTCCTCCTTCTTCCTTTCTTCTCCCTCCCTGCTTCTCCCTCTCTCCTTCTCTTCCTCCCCTCCTTTTTTTTTCCTGGAGAAAAACATTCCATTTAAACAAAGTAGGAAAACAGAAGACCCAGTGAAATTGAATAACAAGGGGCCCCACTGTGACATCCCAAACCCACACTGCTGAGATAGGACTTCTTGGCATGGAGAGTTAATAGGAAAATGATGATCTTAAATGAGTTAAGGACAGAGTCCAGGAAGGCTGACTGTCGAAGCACGCTGCTGGCCACTTCTGTCTTCACAGGGTGGGGAGGAGAAAGTGTAGGAGTGGTTTGGGATGGTAGCAATTTAGAGGAGGCCGAAGGTGGGGTGGCTGGTTTTCTCTTTTCTTTTCGCTAGCCCTTGAGTGTGGGACCTCCTTGCTTCCTTGACAGACTGTTAGGCTCATCTCTTTTATGTAATCCTGCAAGCCAGGATGGCTGTGGCTGCAGAGGGCATGCTGCCCTTCCTCTCTTCTCTTCCCTGCCCCCACTTGTAGGAAAAACAGGGGGCATGGGGAAAGGCAAGACATCATCTGCAAGGACTCCATGCAGTCCTCATTATTGTTGTCATTTTAAAGCACATGTTTGCCTCTTGTAGAGAAAACTTTTACCCAGCATTGCAGTGTGCGATGCCTCTGTATGTCTTCACATTTGTATCATTAAACTCAGTGACAGGGTGATTGGGAGCTCTGTGCCAACCCCCAGATGACAAAGAACAAGCCTGGCACCCTAGTCTAAAGAACATGAGGTCTGCCGGGCATTCAGACAGGTGCAGCTGACAGCCAGCTACACAAGACAGAACCAGATAAGGGTGTAAAGGAGGCGTGGGCACCACCATGTGGAGGGAGTGATGTTAACTTAGGTCTTGGGTGGTCTGCAGAAGGAACTTTCACTAGCTTGAGATGGATGCGTTTTCCAGATAGGGGAAGCGATGCCAGCAAAGAAGTACAGTGTGCCTGGAGGGAATCACTAGAATGTGGATGGGCTGGGGATGGAGGCACTTAGAAGGGAGATCTGGCAGGGGACGGAATGGTGAGAGGCACAGACTCCAGAGCCAGGCTGCCTGGGTCCAACTCCCAATCCTGTCACTTAATAGCTAGGTGACCTTGGGAAAGCTACCCAATCACTTTCTGCCTCAGTTTTCCCCTCTGTAAAATGGTAATATAGTACTTCCTTCAGATAGGTCACGTCTTCTCATATTATTGACCATATATACTAATTATATAATTATAACATAGAAGTCTATATAGTTAACTATTAAACAGGAGTTAACGATTACACTCTGCTATGTAGGATATTATCGTAGCTATTATTATTTGATACATTGTTTGCATGGGGTCTCACATGCCAATTTGATGAATGTGAATTTATTCTATAAGCAACGGAGAGACATGAAAGGGACTCAAGGTACATTTTATATGATCTGACATGGTTTCCAGCAAATAGATCTGGCAGCTATATGAAGGCTAGGTGGGAACAGGCAAGGCTGGCTGCAGGAAGACACATCGATGTCTCTTTCAATCTAGACAGGGCCTCGCCCAGGGCTGCAGCAATCTTCATGGAAAGCAGGCTGTGCATGAAATGATGGTGATCATATGAGCAAGGCTTCACAGTGAATCAGTTTGGGAATCTTGGGAACAGGGACTTACTGAGTTCAGAAAATGCATCATGCAATGTGAAGTTCAGGACTGCATGAGTTTTAAATATATATGTGTATATGCGTATATAAGTATGTATGTGAAAATATATACATAAAGTCTTATAATAAATATAGGCAGTATTATGACATGCCACACATTTATGGTGTGACTGCCTTTGCTTCTGTGTGATACTGAGGCAGTCTATTCCTGAGCCCGACAGCCACCACTCTTCAATAAAGACTCATCCTCCCTAATAGAATACTTGCCCGCACTTTCCAAATGGTAGGCAATCCAATGAGGATTGAAATAAGTGTTTTAAGAAAACATTTTTAAGAGTTTCAGTATGTAAGGACTTTGTGTTTTACATCTAGGTATCTTGTATTTTCAAAGGTTATTTTTAATTGGCATTGCATAACCTGCTACTGATTGATTCCCCAAATTCATATTCAGCTTATGTCTGTAATTAGGTGAAGTTGAACCCTCCCAAGGGAAGAGATGTGGTGAGCTTCCTCCACACCTGATCTCAGAAGAGCTTCGTAACTGTCAGAAGAAGTAAAGCTTTAAAAATGTGTGTGCACATCAGCATGGTGCTTGTAGGTTAACGTGTCCTGACAATGTCAAGCTATTGATATATTGGCTTACCCAATACAGGACTTTCCCGCTAGAATGAGGGCAATTTGTTTGTCAAACTTGTAAGAATTTTAGTGACAGTTGTTGAAATGGGGGATGAGTAGATGGGGGTTCATTGTACTGATCTTTCTACTTTTAAATACTTAAAATCTTTTGTATGTGTACTTTTTTATTTTTAAAGAGAATTCAACTTTTGGAAATTGGAAGATACTGTTAGGTATAATTCCCTTAGAGAGTACATGGCATGATTTTAGGGCCATCGGAAGGACCACTTATCCAGTCTAGCCTGATGCTCTCAGCATGAGATCAACTCTGTGAGTTAAAGTCACTGTCTTTAGTTCTTTTAAAGACAAACAAGGGTTACTACCTATGAGCTTGCACAGTGCCATACAAATATTCATTCGAGGCAGCACATATTCAGTGTTTTTTGTTTCTTTCATTTTGTTTAATTACCTGGCTTCTTAGAAACCAGGGAAGTGTCTCAGGAAGTGCTCACAAGATGAATTTGGAAGTAACATAAAGAAAAATCAAGAACGTAGCAAATTTCCCAGAGTGTGGCTCTCAGAACTTGGGAGGAGAAAAGGGCCCCCCAAAAAAGAGTGAAAGAATAAATAGCTTGGATATGAAGATAAACATTTCTTATATGATTTCACCTAAAGCCAGCTCAGCCTGTATCCAGCTCCTGGGTGTAGGTAATGACTTAGGAGAGAATCGCATTGCCTTTCTCCCCTCTGCATGGGGAAATCCCAGCTGAGCTCCCCAGGGATCAGATTTAGTAGTGGGAACATTTTAAAGGTTTTGAGGGAATCTCCAAATCTGTATATTCTTACAGTGAGGAGCAGAGTTAGCATTGAATGGGGCTGTCATGGAAGTATAAATGAAGGACAAGAAGGAGAGCAAGGAGCTTAACAGCTTGGCCCTTTCTCTCACCCAGGTGCAAAGCATTAAACATTTAAAGGCTTATAATGGGTGTGTATATTAAAATGGGAACAGGAAGGCCACCTAAATTTAGATCCTACAGCCAGCTTTGATGAGGGAAAATGAAAGTCATTAATATCCTCCATGAAATTAGAAGCTATCTTTCATTCTTGCCGATTTGAGGGTGGAGGGGTATAGTTGGGGTGTTTTGTTGTTGTTGTGAATCACTGAAATTTTGACAAGAGTGCCAATGTGCATAACCATTCTTCTGAAACAGAAAAAAGAACAGCAGGTTGAAATCAAAACCATGATGAATTGTGTTTGTATATGTTGTGACTCACACACACTAGAGGCTCCCATCACATTCCCTTGTGTTACCTGTGGCCCGGGCCAGGTAGGAGTTGCATGCTTTCAGGCTTCACAGTGGTGTGTGGTCTGAGGCAGAGGCTGGGGACACAGGCAGTCCTGAGGTGCAGTATTTCAAATGGCAGGTTTGAAGATGAAGAACCCTGCACCCGAAGTCAGACAGCCCAAGTCTCAAAGGAATCAGGGAGCTTGCTATCTTAGCTGGGTGGGGGATGCAGGTCCTCCCATGTGCAGATGATCCAAGGAAATAGAGTGCCCCCACTATCCAAAAGGCTGAGCCAAGATCCTCATCAAAAGAATCCAAGGGATGTGGGAGTATGAACTGCAGAGAGCTGGGTTATAAGCACTGCTCCAAAATCTAAGCAGGTCTCCCTCCCCACAGCATTTTAACCAGAAGCTACCATTGGGACCTCTTGTTGATGCTAGGAGAGTGATGCATCCCACCCGACTTGGGATGCCACAGAGCACAGCTTCCCATACCATGGAGTTCCCAATAAATTGTGTTCCTGGGGCTCATGTCACTGAAGGCTATAATAACATCTGTTTCCATTTATTTTCTGAAATGAGTCAATAAAATAACTATGTATGTTCCCTATAATACAAAATCATCCGAGAGCATTTAGGTATGCACATGCAGTAGTTGGTGTCCAATGAACAGGCTCACATGACTCAGTCATTTGGTCATTTTATTGTTCCTTCATACCCCCCTCACCTGTGGACATTTTGGCCACTAAGACAGTTCAAAATTGCCTTTATCCTTAGTCAAATATTGTTTCATTCATATCTCTAAAGGCCTTTTTATTAAAGACACAAACCCATGTTTGTTAGCTTGCGCTGCCATAACAAAATACCACAGTCTAGGAGGCTTAAACAACAGAAATTTATTTCTCACAGCTTTAGAGGCTGGAAGGCTGAGATAAGGGTGCCCGCATGGTGGGGTTCTGGTAAGGGCTCTCTCTTTGGCTTGCAAACAGCCGCCTTCTCACTGTGTGCTCACGTGATGGAGAAAGCCAGCAAGCTCTCTGGTGTCTCTTCTTATAAGTATGTCTATGTCTTATATGGTGTCTTTTCTTATAATCCCATCACCCATTGGAGGTTAGATCTTAAATATAGGAATTTGAGAGGACAAAAATGGCCAGTCCTTAATATGACCCAAATCTTGAGATTCAAACTAAAGATGTCCTGGTAGGGTGTTGAACACAGAACTTTGTCTCCATCTACTCCTGAAGCACCAGTAAAATGATAAAGGGGCATAGAGGCATGAATCCACAGGACAATGAGAACAGTGGAAGAGGCAAAAGGAAAGAGAAAAGTCCTCAAACTTTCACGGCTGGGAAGCAGGTGAATTGACTAAGCAAACCAGAGAAAGTTGAAAACCAGCTGCAGAGGAGTGGAGAAGCCAGGGACAGATGAAGAGTAACAAGAATCAACTGTAATAATTTCCTGCTATAGTGGCAGTCTTAGATGGTTTTAGAAGGGATTTTTCCTGAAAATTCTCAAATATCTGTTCTGCTCTAATTTGTATTTGTATTCTGATTTGTAAATACAATGGTAGTCTTTCTATTGCACTGGATTTTTTTTTTTGTATGTAGCTTGATTTTATCTGTTTTTAAGACCAGCAGCTTTTAGAAGTTGTTCTCATTTACCTTTCAGTCATTTTTTATGCTAGCTTCAATGGAAGAAACCTATTGAAAAGTAATTTATAATTTCTACTCCTATGACTTTATCTTCTGTCTCCCTCCAGCAAAGGAAAAAATATGTCACTCTTAAAAATTCATAAAAAATTAAAGAATTTAAATTAAAAATCCCCAATATCTAGTGGTATATTTCTTGTGCTTTAAAAAATATTGTGTTTCTGGGCATGGCAGCTCATGCCTGTAATCCTAGCACTTTGGGAGGCCAATGCAGGCAAATCACTTGAGCCCAGGAGTTTGAGACCAGCCTGGGCAACATGGCAAGACCCCATCTTTACTAAAAATACAAAAAATTAGCCAGACTTGGTGGTGCACACCTATAGTCCCAGCTACTTGGGAGGCTGAGGTGGGAGGATTGCCTGAGCCTGGGAAGTTGAGGCTGCAGTGAGCCATGATCGTACCACTACGCTCCATCCTGGGCAGCAGGAGTGAGACCCTGTCTCAAAAAAAAAAAATGTTAAACATAGTCCAAATTAAATAAATGCCTTTTGTATGAAGATATTTCCACATGGAAGATGTCCAGATTGTGCATCTGTGCTTGGTTAATATTTGATATTAAGAATTTAATAATATTTAAAAACATTTATGTTATTCAAGTAAGATTTCCTTCTCGGGACTCAGACCAAATAATGGTGCAAGAAGAAAGAAAAATGGTTCAAATCATACAACTGAATTGGCTGTGTGTGAGTGTGTGTAAATTAGAATTTATGTTAGTCAGTTCACTAATTGGCAAAAGTACTGCATTTACATTTAAGTAACAATAAACATCAGTGTATCTGGTACCTAGTACGTGCCAAATAAATGTCTGGAGGGGCAGGGAGAAAGAGAAGGGCAGGAAAGGAAGGAAGAAAGAATTTCACTATTTACTTCTTAAAATTTGCAAGAAGGACAAACCCAGATGCCCATAAAATATTACTTGCTGTTGAAAGTGTACTAAATGCTAGCTGAACCTCTGCAAGTTAGCAGAATGGAGAGATGGTTTGCATCAAGAGACCAAACTCTTCCCACTGAAGAATGGCCTTGAACAAGCCTCTTAGCCCTAGAACCAAAAAGGCGGCCCACAGTGGTATCCAAGCTAAATATCTACCACATATTAAGTGCATTTCTTGGCTCATTTAAAAAGGTGACCCACCATGGTATACAAGCTAAATATCCACCATGTGTTAAGTGCATATCTGGGCTCATTTAAATATCGCACCACCTTATGTGATAAATATTTTTCTGCTCTACAAACAAGGAAACTAAAATGTAAAGAGGTTCAGTAACTTGCCCAGGATCACACAATTAGTAAATGGTAGATATGGAATTTGTGCTCAGGTCTATTGGACTACAGAAATCTGTACTTCTAACCAATTGTCAAAACTTTACTATATACATCGTAGGAGAGGCAAATTTTTACCTCTATTCTTTTCAAGTTTTTTGGCTGGGCCTGAGAGTTACATTGATATAAGACAGAATCAACAGGAGAAAAGTATACAAATGTATTTAATGCAAGTTTTACAATGGGAGCCTTCGTCAAGAAATGAAAATTAAGACACAGAAATGAACACTTATATGCTGAATTGGACAGAGCAGTAAATTACGAAAATATAACAAGGTAAAGCGGTTTGGGCTAAGGTAGTTAATTGGGTGGAGAAGTGGCTAGGAAGATAAGGGTTCGTTTAACAAGGTTGGTTTAAATAGATTTCTCTGGGCCTCGATCTCCTTTGCTTGACGATAAGAATACTTTCCTTCTGGTGTAAGAAGGGCATCTTTCACATGGAAATTATCACCTGCTTTTAAGAAACAGAAGGAAGAAGCCAGGAGTGGTAGCTCACGCCTGTAATCCCAACACTTTGGGAGGCAGAGGTGGGAGAATTGCTTGAGGCCAGGGGCTTGAGACCAGCCTGGGCAACAGAGTGAGACCCCATCTCTAACAACAACAACAAAAAAATTAGCTGGGTATGGTGGCACATGCCTGTAGTCTCAGCTACTCAGGAGGCCGAGGCAGGAGGATCACTTGAGCCCAGGAGGTTGAGGTTGCAGTGAGCTATGGTCGTGCCACTGCACTCTAGGCTGCGTGACAGAGAGAGACCCTGTAAAAAAGAAAGAAAGGAAAATAGAAGGAAGGTCACCAATGGTCTTTGTATACTTACTGGTTTTTAAGGGCCTTTAACTCAAAATAGTCAATATGTCAGAGTGGCATATTTTGGGGGTGGTATGTTCTTAAGCCCTTCAACACCCACACTTTTTTCTGGATGCCCATTTGATTCACAGTGCTTCAGTATTCTTGTTTGCCCTTTCTATCTGTAGTGGAAGCTGTAGTTGGCAGCATAGCATAATGTATTTATTCAGTGTTTCAAACATATGCATTGTATTAGTCCATTCTCACGCAGCTATAAAGGACTGCCCAAGACTGGGTAATTTATAAAGGAAAGAAGTTTGATTGACTCAGTTCTGCATGGCTAGGGAGGCCTCAGCAAACTTACAATCATGGCGGAAGGGGAAGCAAACATATCCTTCTTCACATGGCGGCCGGAAGGAGAAGTATGAGCAAAAGGAGGAAAAGCCCCTTAAAAAACCATCAGATCTTGTGAAAAGTCACTTGCTATCATGAGAACAGCAGCATGGGGGTAATTATGGGAATTACAATTCAAGATGAGATTTGGGTGGGGACACAACAAAACCATATCATGAAAACAACTGACACTATTTCTAATGAATCGTATGGAAGTTGGCTGTAGAAGTAAAGCATCTGACTAGAGGTTTTTTAGGTTTTGGCAATACTGACTACCTGGAGAAATTTTTAACCATTGACTATGGAAAAGTTCCTTTTCCCTTTTCCATTTCTCCCACCTGACTCCGTGATGTAAGGTCCATATGAAATATCTATCAGGTTATTTTGAGGGAATAAGATTCAAAGAATAAAATGCAAAGTGAGAGAATTTTGTGTCCAGCATGTTAGTGTGCATCTGACATTGACAGGATTGATTCACAGTGTGGTTACTAGAGTTTAGCTTTTGGTCTTAGTTGCACCACTTTGCTAAGTGTTAACCTTAAGCGTGTGCTTTACTGAAACCTCTCACAGCCTCTGTGGCTCAGAAGGTTGGAATAGAAAATCCTTGACTTCTGACTTATTCGAAAAACATTTGATATCATATCTCTTTAATATTTACCATATATTCATATAGTATGAAGGTGTGCACTATATAATGTACAGAAAGAATTTAAAGTGACTTTTTTATACAAGAATATAAACATATATGTTTCTCTAATGCTGTATTGTGGGTAGATGATATATGATGCTTGAAAGCCATGACATTTTTTTCTGTACTAGATTTTGCCCTGTCTTTGGGTTGGATGGTTTATACAAATCTTGGCTTAATTGGAGCCGTATTTACATCCTCTCGTGTTTGACCAAAGAAGATATGACTAAGAATTAAGAGACCATGTGGGACCCGCCAGAGTATCCTCTTCTTCTCTAAATAGTAGAATGTTCTAATGACAGAAGCCAGAAATTTTAGCCACTGGCCTTTAGGAATCTAGATTTTAATGAAGTAGGTTTGAAGGACATAATGTTATAAAATTAAGAGAACTGTGTTCTGGCCTCATCACTTTGCAAAAGTCATCATTCTGAATTTCTGAGAATATGTGTTAAAATTGTTGAAGTGCTTTGAAAATAGTAGCATAAATCTGCCTTTACTAAATTGTTAATTTCTTTGATTCTTAATCAAGCACAGTTTTATAGCTTTATGGATAATCATGTCTCCCTGTGATTTATGTCAGTTTACATCATTATGGAAATATAATGCTTCATTAAGCATTAGGAAATTAGATGTTCTGTTTTTACCAAAGGACTGTCTTTTCTAAATGCGTTAAAGAATTTTTAAATTTCCAATCTTCAATAGACATCTCTTTAAAATATGGAATTTCCCATTTCTCCTTAGTGTAAAGTAAACCAGTTTTATATTTTCCTAATGCTTCAGGGTCCTTATTAAAATGTTTCTTACCATGCCATGCCCAGAATAATGATGCTCACAGTGGCTAATAAATGGTGTAGGAGGATTTTGTCTTTTTTGCTTTAAAAGCCCCTCACCCGTTTTCATATCTGCAAGCTGCTGCTTCTCCTTTCAGCCAGGCTCTTGCTTTCTAATTTATGTTTCTAAGTAGATATGGGCTGGGAAACCAGACTACAAAGCCTATTTAAATTGCACCTAAAATTAAAATAAACTAGCTAAGAGTGGGAGCTGGGGGAATGCTCAAAATGCTTTAACTAGGTGAATTTTAATGCATAATTTGTGCTGCCAGCTCCTTTACTTCTTGGCTTTCTGCTAGCTAGAAACTTGACTATGTGATTAGACAAGTGAATGCTACGGTGACTTAAAACTCCTGAAAGCATTTTGAAGTAATTCCTGGGTTCACATAGAGGAAGAAAATTTGTTAAATCCATTTCAAATTATTAATAACAATGAAATTCCTCTAATTTAAAATACAACAATAAAAAAGAAAAAATATTAACTGAGTTTCAAAATCGTTCTCAAAATTAATTGGATCACCTATTCCAGTGGTTTCTTTGAATTGGGAAAAAATGGACTCAGTAGGGAAGACTTTTTCTTCCATTCGCTTCAGCTCACATTCTGGACGATTTTTTTTTTTCTCACATATTTTTGTTAAGCAATTATGAGCTCAGTATACATTTTGTAACTCCATTGAGGCAAATTAAAATTTTAACTGAACTTTCTCATAAACTAACAATATGAGGCTTGAAAATAGTTTCATGACCTCATTGAAAAACTCATCAAACCTGTAGTTTTGCACAGGTGCATTTTAAAATAACCTTTTAGGTGCATTCTAAATTAACAAAGACTCATATGCCTTAAAATAAAGCCAGTTCTGTCAAATCCCCACCTCAAGTTTATAACCTGAGACTTAAAGCTCTTTAACCCCTTTTTCTTCTACAAATCTGTTTCTTATCTTTGGAGTCTTGGTAGTAGAAGAAAATTGTGTTTTCCGTATATCAGAATAAGTTCGTTTCAGGCAGTCTCCATACATGTTTTTGAGACATAAATGCAGTTTTATGCAGACATAAATGGAGTCTCCATGTATGTTTTTGAATGTGAAAATTCCTTATTTGGAAAATTAAATTGCCTTTTCTTAACTACACAAACTAGGAAATAACAGTAACTTTAAAATGAACATTTAAAAATCTAAAAATTATACTTTTACTGGTGATATAGTAAATCCCACTAAAGGTGTTCAAAATAGTTACACAACCCTTGTTAGTAGTATTCCTTACATATAACATTCTAACCTAAAATATGTTAGAGCAACAGCTTTTTCCCCCTGTACTTTCTGCCGAATGTTTTTCAACCAGCCTCATCACTGTGGTTGCCTCTAAGACTCAGTCATTGCCCATTGGTTGTTTCTCATCTAATTTCTTTCTCTAATTTCCTTCCCCTGATTTGATACTGAACTCTGTTTGGTTGTCTCTTTTCTTCTGATTTCTTGCCATTTCTTCAAATATATTCAGTTGACCATAAAAAGTTGTCATTTGAAAATCCCAATTCATCCAAAAGATAATATGACCTCCTTCATCCCACCTACAGCCCAAAGCAGACCTCTTTTCAACCTCCCCATCATGGTTGGGGCATCACTCAATGTCAGTGCAGTAAGGGATTGAAATATAGAAAATTATGTGCTTACATGATTAGGGGAATGGGAAAATTATAGACAGTTGCCTGAATGCAAACAGTTAGAGTATAATATAGGTGGGCGGGTAGTCAGGATTGGGGAGATACCCAGTAGAGACTCAGCCACAGGCCTTTAGCTTCAAGTACATAATTGCATCCTCAAGCAAAATCCTTAGGAAAAAAAAAATCCCTGGCAAACATAGAAGAAATAGGTTCTTAGTTTTTCTAGATAAGGATCTTAGATTTTTCTAGAATAGGATCTTAGATTTTTCTAGAAAAAAAATCCCTGGCAAACATAGAAGAAATAGGATCCTTAGGACTAGGATCTTAGTCCCTAAGAGTAGGGAGTTCAAGAATGAAACTAAGAAAAACACTGAGTTACTGAAACTGAGGTACCAGAATCAGAATACTTGAACAGAGCAATATTAGCTCTGATTTGCTCTGCATTTTAAATACCACAATAGGTGTCTTATTCACCACTCAATCTATAGGACTAGGTCTGTGCTAGGACATGGGATGTGCTAAAAACAAGACAAAAATTGTCGAAAGAATGAATGAAATTCAAAGGCAACTCATTCAAAATGTGCTCACTGACTTCAAGCAGAATGGAGAGTTGAGGTCTGGTTGCCCTTCCTGGGTGATGTGAAGTCCTGGAACCAGGGCAGGATCAGCCTCCTGTTTGGGCTGAATCTTATGGAAGTAAAGCACAACTAGTGAGACCAGCCCCCAATATTCCTGTAAAATTAACTTAAGTCACAAGAGAAGAGACGTGGGTACTGCATTTAATTTCTGTGACTCTTAGGAGGGGGAAGATGGCAGATACGAAACAGGGCTAACGTGTAGCTCCCACATGAATAGACAGAACAGCGTGTGGAGACTCACACGTCATATTTTGCTCCAAGAACCACTGCAGGAATGTACCAGGAAAACCAAAATAATTCACAGAGCCTTTGAAAGAAATGGCACAGCACAGTGCCAAGGGAACACTGTGGGAGCGAGACCGGCCTCACCAACTGCATGGGAGCTGAGTGAGGCTTCTTGACGCCTCTTGCTACCAGCTATCCCCCATGCCCCTGGCAAACTGTATGACACAGCAGAGGTGGCCAAGATACCCTCTGGAAAGTAACCCCATTGGCCTGGGAACCACTCCCCTATCCCCCACAGTGGCCTTGGCAAGCCCCACCCAAGAAGAGTTTGAGCCCAGACTCGCCTAACCCTGCCCCCACCTAATGGTATTTCCCTGCTGGCCCTGGTAGCTGAACACAAAGCAAGAAAACTCTTGGGAGCTTTATGGCCCCACCCATCATCTGAGAAACCAAAATACTTACCCTGGCCATCATAGGGCAAGCTTAGAGCCCCCTACTACTACTGCAGGTGGTAGTCTTTTGAAAGTGCCACCTCCTGACTAGAGGCCAACCAACTTAGGCCATTACAGCAACTCAGAACAAAATTACTCTGATTCCAGGAAGGAGAAGACAACATCTAATTCTGCTGCCTGCAATATCCTGGCTAACTAGAGGTCCTGCAGGTGTACACTTGACAGCTTCACCACTAGCATAACCAGCATTCAAGAAAGCCAGCACACCAGACATATTTATAACCAAAGACTCTCATAGAGTCTAATTTACTTCCCTGCCACCTCTACCAGAGCAGGTGCTGGGAGACCTGAAGAAAAATCACATCACAGGACTCTTTGCAGACATCCCCCAGCATCAGCTCAGACAGAGCCTGTTGCCCTGCTGAGTGGCTAGACCCAGAAGAGCAATAACAGTCACTGCAGTCCAGGTCTCAAGAAGCCCCATCCCTAGGGGAAGGGGGAGAGCACAACATCAAGGGGTCACCCCTTGGGACAAGAAAATCTGAACAGCAGCCCTTGAGTTTCAAACTTCTCCATGGAATTAGTCTACCCAAATGAGAAGAAGCCAGAAAAGTAGTTCTGGTAGTATGATAAAACAGTGTTCTGTAATACCCCCGATCATACCAGCTTCCCAGCAATGGATCCAAACTAAAAAAAAAATCTGAATTGTCAGATAAATAATTTAGAAATTTAATTATTAATATTAAGCTACTCAAGGAGATAACAGAGAACGGTGAAAACCAACTTAAATAAATTTTTTTTTAAATGTAGGATATGGATGAAAAATGCCCCAGAGAAACAGATATCACAAAGAAAAAACAATCACAACTTCTGGAAGTGAAAGATACACTTAGATATATACAAAATGCAGTGGAAAGTGTCAAAAATAGTCTAGAAGAAGTAGAAGAAATAATTTCTGAGCTTGAAGACAAGGCTTTTGAATTAACCCAATCAGACAAAGACAATGAAAAAAAATTTTAAATGAACAAAGCCTCCAAGAAAATTGAGATTATGTTAAATCACCAAACCTAAGAATAATTGGCATTCCCTGAGGAAGAAGAGAAATCTAAAAGTCTGGAAAACTTATTTGAGGGAATAATTGAGGAAAACTTCCCTGGCCTTGCTAGAGATCTAGACATCCAAATACAAAAAGCTCAAAGAACACCTGGAAAACTCATTGCAAAAAGATTATCACCTAGGCACATATTCATCAAGCTATCTAAAGTCAAGATGAAAGGAAGAATCTTAAGAGCTGTGAGACAAAAGTATCAGGTAGCCTATAAAGGAAAAACCCATCAGATTAACAGCAGATTTCTCAACAGAAACCTTACAAGTCATTAGGGATCGGGGTCCCATCTTCACCCTCCTGAAATAAAATAATTGTCAGCCAAGGATTTTGTATTCAGTGAAACTAAGTTTCATAAATGAAGGAGAGATAAAGCCTTTTTTCAGACAAACAAATGCTGAGAGAATTTGCCACTACTAAGCCAGCACTACAAGACATGCTAAAAAGAGTTCTAAATCTTGAAACAAAACCTCAAAATACAGCAAAATAGAACCTCCTTAAAGCACAAATCTCATAGGGCCTATAAAACAATAACACAGTGGAAAAAAAACACGAGGTATTAAGGCACCAACTAACATAATGAATAGAACAGTACCTCACATCTTAATACTAACATCGAATGTAAATGGCCTAAATGCTCCACTTAAAATATAATGGCAGAATGAATAAAAAAATCCACCAACCAAATATCTGCTGTCTTCAAGAGACTTATCTAACACATAAGGACTTATGTAAACTTAAGGTAAAGGAGTAGAAAAAGATATTCCATGCAAATGGAAATCAAAAGTGATCAGGAGTAGCTATTCTTGTATCAGACAAAACAGACTTTAAAGCAACAACAGTTAAAAAAAAATAGGGACTTACATAATGATAAAAGGAATAGTCCAGCAGGAAAGTATCACAATCCTAAATATATATGCACCTAACACTGGAGCTCCCAAATTTATAAAATAATTACTACTAGACCTAAGAAATGAGTTAGACAGCAACACAATAATAGTGGAGGGGCTTCAATACTCCACTGACAACACTAGACAGGTCATCACAACAGAAAGTCAACAAAGAAACAATGGACTTAAATTATACACTAAAATAAGTGGACTTAACAGATATTTACAGAACATTCTACCCAACAACTGTAGAATATACATTTTTTTTAATACATGGAGCATTCTCCAAGATAGACCATATAATAGGTCACAACACAAGTCTCAATAAATTTAAGAAAATTGAAAGTACCCCAAGTATCCTCTCAAACCACAATGGAATAAAGCTGGAAATTAACTCCAAATGGAGCCCCTAAAACTATACAAATACATGGAAATTAAATAATCTGCTCTTAAATGCTCTTTGGGTCAACAATGAAATCAAGATGGAAATTTAAAAATTCTTTGAGCTGAACAATAATAGTGACACAATTTACCAAAACCTCTAGGCTTCAGCAAAGGTGGTACAAAGAGGACAGTTCATAGCCTATGTCAAAAAGTCTGAAAGAGTGCAAATAGACAATCTAATGTCATACCACAAGGAACTAGAAAAACAAGAACAAACCAAACCCAAATCCAGCAGAAAAACAAAAACAAAAACAAAACAAAACAAAAAGGTCAGAGCAGAACTAAATGAAATTGAAACAAAAAAAATTACAAAGGATAAATGAAACAAAAAAAACTGGTTCTTTGAAAAGATAAACAAATTTGATAGACCTCTAGTGAGATTAACCAAGAAAAGATCCAAGATCCAAATAAGCTCAATTAGAAATTAAACAGGAGATATTACAACCAATACCACAGAAATACAAAAGATTATTCAAGGCTGCTGTGAACACCTTTACACACACAAACTAGAAAATTTAGAGGAGATGGGTAAATTCCTGGAAATATACAACCCTCCCAGATTAAATTAGAAAGAAATAGAAACTCTGAACGACCAATAACAAGCAGTGAGATTGAAAAAGTAATTTAAAAATTGCCAATAAAAAAGGTCCAGGACCAGATGGATTCACAGCTGAATTCTATCAGACATTCAAAGGAGAATTGGTACCAATCTTACTGAAACTATTCCAAAAGATAGAGAAAGAGGGAATCCTCCCTAAATCATTCTGTGAAGCCAGTATCACTCTAATTCCAAAACCAGGAAAGGACATAACAAAAAAAGAAAACTACAGACCAATATCCCTGATGAATATAGATGCAAAAATCCTTAAGAAAATACTAGCTAACTGAATCCAATTGCATATCAAAAAGATAATACACCATGATCAAGTGGGTTTCATACCAGGGATGTGAGGTTGGTTTAACATATACAAGTGAATAAATGTGATACAGCACATCAACAGAATTAAAAACAAAAATCATGTGATCATCTCAATAGGTTCAGAAAAAGCATTTGACAAATTCCAGCATCCCTTTATGATCAAAACTACCATATATATACATATATATACACATATATATGTATATATATGTGTGTATATACACACACACACATATATATATACACATACACACACACACACACACACACACACACACACACACACACCATGGAATACTACTCAGCCATAAAAAGGAATGAAATAATGGCATTCACAATTACCTGGATGGAGTTGGAGACCATTATTCTAAGTGAAGTAACTCAGGAATGGAAAACCAAATATTGTATGTTCTTATTTATAAGTGGGAGCTAAGCTATGAGGATGCAAAGGCATAAGAATGATATAATGGACTTTGGGGACTTGCGGGGAAGGGTTGGAGGGGGATGAGGGGTAAAAAACTACACATTGAGTACAGCATACACTGCTCGGATGAATGGGTGCACCAAAATCTCAATAATTATCACTAAAGAACTTATCAATGTAACCAAAAGCCACCTGTTACCCAAAAACAATTGAAATAAAAAAATTTCTGTAACTCTCAATAAGTTAAGAGCAATGTTTATTTTTAAATTCCTTCAGTTCAAAATCCTGTTTAAATTTTTGAGAGATTTTATCTTCCTTTAATTTGATAACATGTGGCATTCTGCTTTGAAAATGGTTAAAATATTTTTAAAGCTTGCTCAGAATGGTTGGGTAGACCTGTTAAATATTTTAGAGGATGCATTTCAATCATTTGACTGTACCTCAAACACAAACATAACCTCCCTTAATCCTTTCCTGTTATTTTATTAATGTAGAAAGGGAATTCACAAAGCTGGAAGTTTAGAAAAAGAAGCTGAACTCAGCTGTCATTCAAAATCTGACTTTCATATTTCCTAATCTCCTTTTTTCCAGCATCCTTTCCAAGAACCACTGTAAGTAAAACAGTGCACTAGACCCCTTTAAATTTGAAGAAATTCAAATAGTCACCCACTCCATGACTGTAAACAATTGACTCTCATCTCAGGCATCAAATTCATCTATTACAGTAGAGGTTTAAGTACTAACCCACTCAAAAGAATCTTTCAGATTTAGTAACTCAGAGGAGTTACAATAACTCAGTGGGAGAACTGGTTGAGGTCTTTGTTCTAGTTCTGATGAACTAGTGGCACTTCCTGGCTCAGGTCATCATGGAGCCAAACTCTTTCCCTTCCAGTTCCAGCGCAAGTCTCACCTACTGGCACCTGCCTGTGGGGACTGCTCCCTCCTCTAAGCCCATAGCAGCCCCTAGTCTCTCTTCTCATCACATGGCCCTCAGCTTATCAGCTTTCTCTAGAGACTGTGCCCTAGTTAGATTGCATGTTCTGCAGACACCCGTGCTCTCCCACTGTCCTCCATGTCTTGCCCGCAGCAGATGCTTACTAAGTGTCTATTCACGATGTCATGGTTTGTGACATAGTGATGGTGATTCCTATTTTTAGAGAGACCACTGAGATGTTGCAGGCTTGGTTCCAGACCACTGAAATAAAGTGAGTATTTCAGTAAAGCAAGTCACACACATGTTGGTGTTTCTCAGTGCATGTAACAGTTATGTTTATGCTACACTGTAGCCATTAAGCATCATGTCCAAAAAACAATGTACATACCTTAATTTAAAAATACCGTATTGCTAAAAAAAAAAAAAAAGTGAATGATCATCGGAGGCTTCAGCAAGTCATAATCTTCTTGCTGATGGAGGGCCTTGATTCTATGTTGATGATTACTGACTGATCAGGGTTGCTAAAGGTTGGGGCGGCTGTGGCAATTTCTTGAAATAAGACAACAATGGAGCTTGTAGCATTGATTGACCCTTCCTTTCATGAACGATTTTTTGGCACTATGTGATGCTGTTTGATAGCATTTTACCCACAGTAGAACTTCCTTCAAAATTGGAGTCAGTCCTCTCAAACCCTGCTGCTGCTTTCTCAACTAAGTTAATATAATATTCTCAATCCTTTTTGGTCATTTTAAGAATGTTCACAGCATCTTTATCAGTAGTAGACTCCCATCTCAAGAAACTGCTTTCTTTGCTCCCCCGTAAGAAATCCTAGATGGCATCTTCCAATAGAAGGTTATTTCGTCTCCATTGAAAATCTATTTGGCCTCCCCCTCCCCCTCCCCCTCCCCCTCCCCCTCCCCCTCTCCCTCTCCCCACAGTCTCCCTCTCCCTCTTCCTCTCCCCACAGTCTCCCTCTCCCTCTCCCTCTCTCTCCACGGTCTCCCTCTGATGCCAAACGGAGGCCGGACTGTAATGCCGCCATCTCGGCTCACTGCACCCTCCCTGTCTGATTCTCCTGCCTCAGCCTGCCGAGTCCCTGGGATTGCAGGCGCGCGCCGCCACACCTGACTGGTTTTCGTATTTTTTTTGGTGGAGACGGGGTTTCGCCGTGTTGGCCGGGCTGGTCTCCAGCTCCTAACCGCGAGTGATCTGCTAGCCTCGGCCTCCCGAGGTGCCGGGATTGCAGACGGAGTCTCGCTCACTCAGTGCTCAATGTTGCCCAGGCTGGAGTGCAGTGGCGTGATCTCGGCTCGCTACAACTTCCACCTCCCAGCCGCCTGCCTTGGCCTCCCAAAGTGCCGAGATTGCAGCCTCTGCCTGGCCGCCACCCCGTCTGGGAAGTGAGGAGCGTCTCTGCCTGGCCGCCCATCGTCTGGGATGTGAGGAGCCCCTCTGCCCGGCCGCCCAGTCTGGGAAGTGAGGAGCGTCTCTGCCCAGCCGCCATCCCATCTAGGAAGTGAGGAGCGCCTCTTCCCGGCCGCCATCCCGTCTAGGAAGTGAGGAGTGTCTCTGCCCGGCCGCCCATCGTCTGAGATGTGGGGAGCGCCTCTGCCCCGCCACCCCGTCTATGATGTGAGGAGCGCCTCTGCCCGGCCGCGACTCCGTCTGGGAACTGAAGAGTGTCTCTGCCCGACCACCACCCCATCTGGTAGGTGAGGAGTGTCTCTGCCCTGCCGCCCCGTCTGAGAAGTGAGGAGCCCCTCCGCCCGGCAGCCGCCCTGTCTGGGAAGTGAGGAGCGTCTCCGCCTGGCAGCCGCCCCCTCCAGGAGGTGGGGGGCAGCCCCCGCCCGGCCAGCCACCCCGTCCCAGAGGGAGGTAGGGGGCAGCCCCCGCCCCGCCAGCCGCCCTGTCCGGGAGGGAGGTGGGGGGCGCCTCTGCCCGGCCGCCACCCCGTCTGGGAAGTGTACCCAGCAGCTCATTGAGAAGGGTCCATGATGACGATGGCGGTTTTGTCGAGTGGAAGGTGGGGAAGTGTGGGGAAAGGAAAGAGAAATCAGATTGTTGCTGTGTCTGTGTAGAAAGAAGTAGACATGGGAGACTCCATTTTGTTCTGTACTAAGAAAAATTCTTCTGCCTTGGGATGCTGTTAATCTATAACCTTACCCCCAACCCCTTGCTCTCTGAAACATGTGCTGTGTCCACTCAGGGTTAAGTGGATTAAGGGCGGTGCAAGTTGTGCTTTGTTAAACAGATGCTTGAAGGCAGCATGCTCCTTAAGAGTCATCACCACTCCCTAATCTCAAGTACCCAGGGGCACAAACACTGGGGAAGGCCGCAGGGTCCTCTGCAGAGGAAAACCAGAGACCCTTGTTCACATGTTTATCTGCTGACCTTCCCTCCACTATTGTCCTATGACCCTGCCAAATCCCCCTCTCCGAGAAACACCCAAGAATGATCAATAAATACTAAAAAAAAAAAAAAAAAAAAAAAAAAAATTATCACAGTAATTCCATGAGGCAGGGGACTCTACGTCCATTTCAGGGGCTGATAAACTGAGATATAGAGTACTTAGGTAACCTACCCGAGTACACACAGAGCCAGAGCGTAAACCCCTTCTCGCTATTTCCAGAGTCAGGCTCTTCGCCACTTCACCATCCTGCATGTCAGGAAAATGAAATATGAAGAAAATTGCCAATTCTTCCATTGTTTTACTAGAAGATAACTGAGCCACTGACTGAGGCTCTCCTGTGCCCACTAGCTCACTGCTCTGACTGCGTTTTATTGGAAATTTCAGCTAACTCTCACCACCTCCCACTAAACCGCTTTCCTGAGGGCAGAAATCCATCTTCCAGCTGTGAATCAGGATTTGCCACAAGAAACCCCTGCCTGCCTCCTAACACCTGCCATTCATTAGACACTGAATCCGGTAGGGCAGTCCTGGGATCTGAAGGTCTTTAGATCGCCAGGGCCACGTTTCTGGGAGGCTGGTGTATTTGGAACCGCCCTATCATTCTGGGAGCCCTGTGCGTCCCCAGCTGCCCTGCGGAGTCGCTGTTAGACATTGTACACCTGCCCTGCACCCCGGATGCAGACTCCGTAATTCTTCAGGTCAGCCCCAGTTCATGCAACTGACTTTTCTCAATCAAAGGCATTTGCCAAGTGTTCAAGGATTATTACAGCGATTTATTACACTGAGAAGACTTTTCATCTGGATACATTTGCAAGTCAAAGAAAACCGTTTCTTAGCCCACAGGTCTTAATCACTTTGTTAATCTTAAAGCAGCTGTGACCTTAAAATTCAGTGCTATCAGTAAAGACAATATATAGAGACAAAGACAGACAGAGATAAAGACAGAAAGAGACTAATGTGGAAAACACATTTTAATTTTTTTAATTAAAACGTATTTTAGGCCAGGTACGGTGGCTCATGCCTATAATCTCAGCACTTTGGGAGGCTGAGGGAAGGGGGTATGGCTTGAGCCCAGAAGTTCAAGACCAGCCTGGGCAATGCATTTCTCTAGAGACCCATCTCTAGGGGAAAAAATAAAAATAAAAAATAAATAAAAATGTATTTGAAATAGAAAAAAAAAGAGAAAATGTCCATAAGCAAATAGTGGAGGAAAAAAAAGTCACCCTGTTCAGAAACAACTACCTTTAGTGTTTTAATGTATACCCTTCCAGATATTTTTGTCTGCACATGTATTTATATAAAAGTGAGATTATAGCTGCCACTTTTAACCTGCATATTATTATACCATTCTTCCAGCTTTCCATGCTTCTTGTCATTATTCTCACTGTACTTTACTGGAATTTTCCATCATGTTTTTTGACCCAAAAGTATTCTATAAAATGAACGTATCCTAAAAAAAAAAAAGAAAATCTATTTGGTGTAGCCACCTCAATGCTCTTAGCTAGGTCTTCTGAATAACTTGCTGCAGCTTCTCCATCAGCACTTGCAGCTTCACCTTTCACTTTTATGTTATGGAGACAGCTTCTTTCCTTAAAACTCATGAATCAAACTCTGCTGGTTTTAGACTTTTCTTCCACAGCTTCCTCACCTCTCTCAGCCTTCATAGAATTGAAGAGAGTTAGGCTTTGCTCCGGATCAGTCTTTGGCTTAAGGGAATATTGTGGCTGGGTTTGATCTTCTATCCAAACTATTTAGACTTTCTCCATATCAGCAACAAGGCTGTTTCACTTGTTTATCATTCATGTATTCACTGAAGTAGCACTTTGGCCAGTTAGCCAACTGGCGAAAGAAGCCCTGGCTTTTGGCCTGTCTCACCTTTCGACATGCTTCCTCACTAAGCTTAATCATTTCTAGTTTTTGATTTAATATGAAAGATAATGCGACTCCTCCTTTCACTTGAGCATTTAGAGATCTTTGTAGGGTTGTTAACTGGCCCAGTTTCAATATTGTTGTGTCTCAGGGAATAGGGAGGCCTGAGGAGAGGGAGAAAGATGGGAAATGGCAGCTCAATGGAACAGTCAGAACACACACTTCATTTATCAATTAAGTTCACTGTCTTATATGGGTGTGATTTGTGGCACCTCAAAACGATTACAATAGTAACATCAAAGATCAGATCGCCATAATCACAGATCACCATAACAGACCTAATGATGATGAAAAGTGTGAAAAATTGCAAGAATTATCAAAATGTGACACAGAGACCCAAAGTAAGCACATGCTGTTGAACAAATGGTGCCGATAGACTTGCTCAATCCAGAGTTGTCACCAGCTTTCAGCTTTCAATTTGTATAAAATGCTGTCTTCTAAGCACTAAGACAAGGTATGCTTGTATTTTGTTATGGGGGAAAAGCTATGTTTGGAGAGCATTGGGGCAAATTAGTCACTAAGGCAGCTTGAGTTAATCAATGAACAGTCTTTTCTTCCCAGAATATGCAAGGATGTTTTCAAAGCCTAGAAACAGGAGGCATTTGGTTTTGGTTTGGTTGTTTCTGCTCTGTTTTTCTTTTTATAGAACATAAAAAGTAATTTTTCAAGATGTACCTAGGCATTGAGTTAATGGAATGTGCCTATTACCTAAACCTATTCCAATGTCTTAACTATGAAGAAACTCGGTATGTGGTGATAGAATAAATGAATAACTGAACTGGTTTTGGAAATGTCAACTTAATTCAGAAATTCTACATTCAGAATGGAATTTTTGAAAGTTAAACTATTTGAATTAATTCATCTATGTACCGTTTTCTGTCCTCTGTTATCTAAAATAAAGATTAAATAACATTCAAGTTTCTATGTTTAGCAGTTCCTGTTGTTTGAATCCCATGCAACGGTTTTCATGCTAAGATGTGTTCATGCTGCACAGGTGACCCATGCATTTGTGCGCTGAGAATGGAAATGATTGAGGCCATTGCTGGCATCATTCACTAGGGAGAGAGTCTTGTTTCTCCAGAAATACAAAACTGAGAGGACAAGCTCTTGGTAGAAGAGAAAAATATGTCTGTTGGGCTCACCTGTAAAACCTTATTCAGAAAGTCGGCTTGGGCCTCCTGGAATAGGAATGGTGCTATATCTCAAGACATGCTAAGGAAAATAAGGGGAGAGAATTCTCACCCTCTTGTGTCCTGAGCATTAAAGATAGAGCAGTTTCCCCTGAAGGCAGCATGGAACAGCAACCATTGTCAAAGAGAAAGAAAGCCAGATGCTAATTAAAGGCAGTGAGATGGATTTTCTCCAGTACTTCTGCAGTAGGAGAGAGACCCCAGTGTATACTGAGCTCAACTTTATGGAAACTAAAATGTAGGAGTCCTCATAAGCACTGGGAGCTACTAAAGGAAACATACTGAAGGGCCTTAAGGGATGTGATGAGGCCATCTGTGTGTGCTAACTGGTGCTTATTGAAATTAGGTTCCTAGCCTCCCCCAGAGACTGGAAGATGGGGGCTTAATACTTCTCAATGATTACATGTCAAAGAGATGGCTCCCAGGTCTCTGGAAAGACGTTCCTGGGTTGTAGAAGATACATGTACATCTCAAAGGCCCAGAGAAAGGATTTACAATTGTAAGCTTTCTAAAGTAAATGCTCCAAGAAAAGGGAATTTAGGGGTCTATTTTCAAGTGTTGATTAGAACAAACAGCAAATATTTTTGGTGGTGTTGAACCTTCTCAGGCAGGCATTTTAAGGTTACTGGGATTATCTTCCTAGGGACATGGCTTTGAGCTGCTAGAAACTGTGGTAGTGTTTGTTCAAGTCCCTTAGTGTTGAAAAGTGGGTGAAATCATTTGTACTGAATGTTGTAGTTCTTACAGGCCAAGGTTGAAGCCTAGTTGGAAAGAGACCTCAGAGGAACTGTCTCAAGTTTGTTCAAGGAGAGAGTCTTTGTCACCACCTTGGGAGAAACTCAAAGGGGAAAATGAGTGGTTGTCAGAGGCACCTTGGCCCAGCCACCCACTAACTAGGTGCATTTCCTTCCAGTGGTGACCTTGGAGCCTTCGATTGTATGTTCATTAGGAAAATGTTGTTTCCTTATATACCAAAAAGCATTTGTTGAGTGACTTCTGTTTAAGGATGCACTTCCTGGCTGTCTCCTGACATTTTCTTGTTTGTCAAGTTAAATATGATCTTGCAAGGAAGAGTTAGGACTTAGGGTTTCACATATAAGCTTACGTTGATTTTCATCCATCTTGAGCTTCTTTAGATCAAGGATCAGAAGCTTGAACATGACATGGAGCCATGAAATAATTTTTTTTTACATGAAAGCCACAGTTTTATACTTAGTTAGAGAAATCATATCAAGAGGGTTAATTTTGCTATTTGCCTTTTTTTTTTTTTGCCCAGAGTTTGAAAGCTTGTTCCTCTTCTACTTTTGAAAAAAGACCCCAATTTTCAAAGTTCTTTCCTTTGGGTCTTCTACAACAGGGGTTAACAAACTATGACCCATAGGCCAAATCCATCCCACTGCATATTTTTGTAAATAAAGTTTTATTGGAACGCAGCCACATACATCCATTTGCATACTGTCTGCAGCTGCTACAGATGAATTGAGTCATTTCCACAGAGACAGTGTGACCTGCAAAGCCTTAAGTATCAGCTGTTTGGTCCTCTTCACAAAAAGTTTGCCAACACCTGCTCTATTTATTCACAAATTGTTTTTTCCGTTATATTTATATTTTCTGTCTATTGGAATCTGCTTGAACTGGAAGGCTTACAGAACTCATATTGTACCTTTGTATTCCCAAAAAACTTTCATTTGAGGAACTGAACTTGAAAGAACAGCATTGTTTCAAGCCCCAGTGAAGCTTCAAAGACAGAGGTCAAGTCAAGTTACATACCAAGCTAAGCTAAGCAGGTTTCCTCATTAACTAGAAACTTTGATTGGCTCACATAATTAAAGACTTTCGTCACACACAACAGAGGAAGATATAAATAATTTCAGCAAAGCTACTGTTCTTCATTAATTATAAAGAAATTTGTGGCTAAGTCTCTATTTTGAAATTAAAAATAAAACCACAATAATAAAAACCTTCATTTCCTTTTCTGGAAAAAAAAAATGCAACCCTTCCTCCTAACTTACTCATGCTTTTGACAAAATTCATCTCCACTTTCCCTTTGCAGAGAATTCAAAAGTCTTATAATCCAAAAGGGTCAAAGGAGGACTTTAGTTTGTAATATTATTGTTTCTGTGCTCTGAGGTGAAGAAAGGGCAACTTTTAAAAGTATTTAAGCTCACAGCCAAATATATGTAATGTTAGATTCTCATGATCTTCCTCTCTCTGAATTTTGACATATTAAAACTAAGTGATCACTTCATATCCCTAGGATGGTTAAAAACACAGATAATAACAAATATTGATGAGGATGTGGAGAAATTTGAACCCTTGTATACTGTTGCTAATCAAAATAAAATGGTGCAGCTGCTCTGGAAAGCAGTGAGGCATTTCCTCAAAAAATTAAAAATGGAATTACCATATAACCCAGCAATTCCACTTCTGGGTATATATCCAAAATAATTGAAAACAGTATCTCGGAGAGAGAGATGCATATCCATGTACATAGCAGCATTGTTCACCAAAGCCAAGAGGTGGAAGCAACCCAAGTGTCTATTGACAGATGAATGGATTTTAAAAAGTGGTCTATATATACAATGGAGTATTACTCATCATTAAAAAAGAAAGGAAATTCTGACACATTGTATAGCACGGATGACCCTCGAGGACATTGTATTAAATGAAATAAGCCAGTCACAAAAAAGACAAATACTGTATGATTCCACTTAATGAGACACCTATCATAGCCAAGCTCATGGAGACAGGAAGTAGAATGGTGGTTGCCAGGGCCTGGGTTGTAGGGGAATGAGGAGTTACTGTTTGGTGAATACAAAGTTTTCGTTTTACAAGTTGAAAAAGTTCTGGAGATGGTTGCACAATGATGTGAATCTATTTAACACTGCTGAACTGTGCACTTATAAATGGTTAAGATGATAAATTTTCTTATTTATAGTCTACCAAAATGTTTGTAAAAAATGAAGCTGTCAGTACCATGGAACTAATAGTTTTGATATAATGCATGACAGAGTCCAGACAAACTTTCTATTTAGCCTCTATCTTCATGGTTTCACAGAAATTAATTTATCTATTTAGCTCTGTCAAGTGACAGGATGTTTTAATGAGGGGAGAAATCAAATCAAGTTGATTGATCTGTTTTCATCACTTGTTCCTATAATATTGTGTAGAATATAACCTCGGGCAAGAGTTTCTAGTAACCCAATGGTGAGGACCAGCAGAGTCCCTTTTATGAGTATGCCAGAAAGAAAAAGAAAATGGGTTTGACAGTTTGCATTTGCCTTTGAACACCATTGAGATCAGCTGGGTTCCCATCAGCCCCATGGCCAAATCCTTTATCCCCTCCCTAACTCCAGCCAAGATTGTACTAAGAAGCAGAATTTGAATTCTAAATTGCTGCCTTGGCTCAGACCTTTACTCAGATCAACCCAACTCAAATCAACTGGGGGTCAGTCTCTAGAACTAAGAAATTGCTGGACAATATTATGGAACAAAGCTCCATTCATGATGTCCTAAAGAACCTGACTCAAACAAATGAAAGAAAATGATGTCTGCTATTTTTATTTGTGAATTAAGGATTGCCTGTTCGTCAGCTTCCACTATGCGTGTGACATTTATTTCAAAATAAGTGTAAAAATACTCGTCAAAAACAAAATCAGAAGTTGCAGTCACAAAAAACTAGTGGAGAAGTCTGGGTGCTCATTTAAGGAAGCAGTGTGCTTCCTGCCCTGTCTCGCTGCCTTGTCATTACCGTGAGGATGATGGCGTTCTGTAAGATCAAGAACGCTTCAACTAGAGCTTTGAGTAGCACTGTGCTTTTAGACCTTTCTTCTCTATTTTCTTTATTCCACACATGTTTAGATTTCTTCTTTCTTTTTTTTTTTTTTTTTTTTGTTGTGCTTGTTTTTCAGCTTTTTTCAATTGCAGTTAGGGTAAACATTTGATTCTCAAACCTGCCACTTAAATATTCTGGGATTGTTTTTTTCCATGATAGTATGCAGTTACTAAAGGTTGATTTTTCCCAAATACAGAAGAATAATTCATTGCCCCTATTTGAGGATAATGGATATTTTCCACACTATTTTTATCATTAAGTGATAAATGCTGGGGTGCAATCCAGCTAAACCCAGACCCTGCTTCTGGTTGAAACGTCTTGCCATGCAAGGGGAGAGGGCTGAGGCTGAACAAAACACAATGTGCTTAGTGTGCAGAACGGGAAAGCACATTTCTAAATTACTTGGACATTAAGGTTGAAGGTTTCATTATTCAATTAAAATAAAAGCAGTTGAAAGAAATTTAAGAAGAAAAAAGAAGAAATAGAAAACACAACTACTGTCTGCCTCCTGGGTTCAAGCAATTCTCCTGACTCAGCCTCCCCAGTAGCTGGGACTACAGGCATGCGCCACCACACCTGGCTAATTTTTGTATTTTTTGGTACAGACAGGGTTTCACCAAGTTGGCCAGGCTGGTCTTGAACTCCTGACCTCTAGTGATCCACCTGCCTCGGCCTCCCAAAGTGCTAGGATTACAGGTGTGAGCCACCGCATCTGGCCGAGAATCCAATAGTTTTACTTTGGGTATGTGTATGTACTTGTCCTTTAGGTGTCATATCTAAAAAGCCATTGCCTAATCCAGGGTCATGAAGATTTACACCTGTTTCTTGTGAGAAGTTTATAGTTTTTGCTCTACTGTTTAGGTCTGTGATTCATTTTCACTTGATTTTTTAATATAATGTAAGGTAGGGGTCCAATTGCATTATTTTGCATGAGGATATTCAGTTGTCCTGATACCATTTGTTTAAAAAGTTCTATTTTTCCCCTTTGAATTTTCTCAGTACCCTTGTCAAAAATCAATTGACCATAATATGAGAGTTTATTTCTGGATTCTCGATTCTATTCCATTCATCTCTATGCCTGTTTTTATGCCAGTACCATACTGTCTTGATTACTGTGGCTTTGTAGTAAATACTAAAATTGAGAAGTGTGAAAAAAAAAAAGAAAACACGACTACTATACCTAATGAACAAATTGTATTGGTAATTAAAAACCTTGCCAAAAGAAAACTTTAGGCCCAGCTTCCTTCATTAATGAAGTCTCCCGGATATTTAATAATGAAATAATATTAGTTTTACACAAACTGACTCTAGATAATATAAAAAGAGGAAAGTGCCCAGCACAGAAAGACACACTTCACATGTTCTCACTTATTTTGGAGAGCTAAAAATTTCAACAATTGAACTCATGGAGTTAGATGATAGAATGATGGTTACCAGAGGCTGGGAAGGGTAGTTGAGGGTAGAAAGGAAGGGAAGTGGAGATGGTTAATGGGTACAAAAAAATAGTTGAAAATGAATAAGAACTAGCATTTGCTAGCACAACAGGGTGACTATAGTCAATAATAATTTAATCTTACATTTAAAAATAACTAAAAGTATAACTGGATGGTTTGTAACTCAAAGGATAAATGCTTGAGGTGATAGATACCCATTTACTCTGATGTGATCATTACACATTGCATGCCTATATCAAAACATCCCACATATCCCATAAATATATACAACTACTATTTATCCACAAAAACTTAAAATTTAAAAAGATATATAAATCGTTTTCTTCTCGAACTGTGTGTGCAGATATCTCCTGGGGATCTTGTTGGAACACAGATACTGATTCAGTAGTTCTGGGCTGGGGCCTGAGATTCTGCATTTTAAAAAATGTTTTTACATTTTCAATTGTGGAAATTTGCATTTTAAAGTAAACCTTCAAGTGATACTGCTACCCCTGGTGCTCAAACACTTGAGTGATAAAAATAAATATAAATTAAAAAATAAAATGAGGAAAGACTTCCCAACTTGTTTTAAAAGACTAGCATAAATTGGATTCCATAACATGGTAATGATACCATAAGACAGAAAAATTACAGGCCAATATCTCTCATTATATAAACATAAAAAATTTATATAAAATATTAGGAAATTGAATCTGATGATATATTTAAAAGGATAATATGTCACAGTTAAAGTTGGATTGGTCCTGTGAATGCGTAGTTTTTGTAATATTCAAACTCAACCAATATTATTTATACTGTTAGCAGAATAAAGGGGAATATCTTATGATCAATTCATAGGTGCAGATAAAATTTAATAAAATTTTACATTCATTCTTAAAACTTGAAGCAAGGTAGAAATAGAAGGGAACTTCTAAATTCTGATATAAGTTATTTACAAAAACTAAGAAGAAAACTCACAGTAGATAACAAGCTTAATTGTGAAATAATGAAGGATATTCTCCTGAAATTAGAATAAGAAAAGATGGACTGTTTTCACCTCTTCTGTTCAGCATGACACTAGAAGACCTAGCCAGAGCAATAAAGGACGAGAAGGTAATAAAGGTTTAAAGATTGAAAGCAATAAATAAAACCATTATTTGTGAATGACATAATTATGTACCTACAAGATACAATAAAATCTACTCATAAACTATTAGAACTAAATGAATTTAGCAAGATCTCTGGATACAAGGTCAATATATAAAAATAAATTGTATTGCTATATACCAGCAACACATATTGAAAATAATTTTTAAATCCTGTTTTTAGTCACATAAAAATAAAATGAAGAGATGGAGCATATTCATGGACTAGAAGACTCAATATTGTAAAGATGCCAGTCCTCCCTAAATTGATCTCAAGATTCAGTGTAATTCTAATAAAAACCCCAATAGGTTTTTTTATGAAAATTGACAAACTGATTCTAAAATATGTGTGAATTAGCCAAATGTGGTGGCACATGACTGTAGTCCCAGCTGCTTGGGAGGCTGAGGTGGGAAGATTGCCTGAGCCCGGGAAGTGGAGGCTGCAGTGAGCCATGATCATGCCACTCCACTGTACTCCAGCCTGGGCAACAGACTGAGACCCTGTCTCAAAAAAAAAAAAAAAAAAAAGTATGTGTGGAAATTCAAAGGACCAAGAATGGTAAGAGCAATTGAAGAACCAAGTTAAAGGATGTATACTACTAGATGTTCAGTCTAATGATGAGGCTACAGTGATTAGAACAATGTAGTACAGGTGCAGGATAGGCAAAGATACAAGTAGAAAATAAGAAAGTGCCTAGATTTCAATTCAAACATATATAAACATCTAATTCAAGGAAAAAATTACTGTTGCAATGAAATAGGCTCTGTAAAATAAATGATGCTTAATCAATTGGTTATCTATTTTTAAGAAGCAGTTATTGTGCATATCCTCCGTGAGCATGTCTATTCTGCTTTGGTATAAAAGTCTTGTTATAGCTCAGTATTTCAAGGATAGGCATCAGAATCAACAGAAAATCTGCACATTTCTTCCCTGTGTAGTTCTCACCACCTGAAATGACTCTTGAGAAGTAGCTGAGCAAATATTTGCCTTCCTAAATATGGGTATTACCTTATCATATATGTATACAAGAAGAAAGTTAAATTATACATTTGTGACTTATTTCCTCTGAATAGTTTAATTTTTTCCTAAAGTAGGAGAGTGCTAATAATAACAGTCACAGCTGATTGAGTTTTATGTTTAAGGCAATGTGCTTGGTCTTCATATGTGAAATCTCATTCAATGACAATTAACTGCTAAACTTAATAAAAATGATTTAAGAAGTGATCACAGTTTATAAATGTTATAGACTGAATGTTTGTGCCCGCCCCACCACCAAATTCATATGTTGGAGCCCTAACCCACACGTGGCTGTATTTGGTGTAAGGAAGTAACTAAAGTTAAATGAGGTTATAAATGTGGATCCCTGATCTGATAGAATTAACGTCCTTGCAAGAAGAGACACCAGAGAGCTCTCTTTCTCTGAGCACACGAACCAAGGAAAGGCCTCGTGAACACACAGCAAGAAGGCAGCCATCCGCAAGCCAGGAAGTGAGCCCTCATCAGAAGCCAAAAGGGTCAAGATCTTTATCTTGGACCTCTGGTCTTTAAAACTGTGAGAAAACAAATTCCTGTTGTTTAAGCCGGTCTATAGTGTTTTGTCATGGCAGCCCTTGCAGACTAATATATCAAGCCAAAATTCTGCCTAGGAGAGAGCAAAATATTGTATCTTTAGTTCTTCTGTATATACACGAAAGCCTATCTGTACAAGTTTGTTCATTTGCAGATCTGCTTGACAAACTGTGGGCCATATCCCTAGCTTGTAAGGCTTAAAAAGGCAGTGATAATGTCATCCTTAAGTGTTCTCACAATGGAATCCCATGGCTTGGGTTCAAGTGCAGCTCTGCAACTTGGGCAGGTCATGTAACATCTTCTTTATCTGTCGTGTGGATAATAGTGCCAACCTCTCAGAGTTGTTGTAAGACTTACTACATAAAGTACTATGTGGAAAGCACAGAGTGCATGGTTCCTAATACATAATAAGTGTTACCATGGTGATAATGGGGAGAAATCAAGTCTTCACACAAAATGTCCCCTTCAGGCAAAATATTTGTCTGGATAGACATCTGACATAGCTATGCATAGTTATGATTTTTTAAATTTTGGTTCAAAATTATTAGCTAACTTTCTTCTAACCATAGATAATAAGAACAACCAAAAACCCTCAATCTAACACTGCTGTCTTTCTCTGTCTGATAAAAAGTCAAAGCAGTAAGAATGTAAAACCTGACTATCTTAACACTGTCTTCTGAAGATTTCATTGCAGCAGGGTTGATCCAACCATGAGTCAAAAAGCAAGCCGCCAAGCAGGCAAGCTTATTTCCATTAACTTGGCACCACAAAACACTTTGAACAAGGGTGCTATTATCTTTTAGGTAACAGGTGGTAGCTGGGATATTAAGCCGTTCTGGGCAGGATTTCAGATTTCCATTCTTCAGTGCTTTGGGCAATACACTTCTATCATAAAGCGATCAATAATAATTAGGTGTCTGGAATGAAATACAGTACACCATTATACTTCCTACATCTGGAAGGAGAAACCCACTTCACTAGCTCTGAATCAATGAATTTTCTTTTTATTCCTGGGGGGAGTGTTAAAGGCAGCAGAGAACAGGGTGGAAATGTGAATTGTGGATCTGAGCACAATCACAAAAAAATTAGATGTTATGATACACCCTCTTACAAGTAATACAAGCAAGCCCCAGAGCATTGAGCGTTTGTGTCTAACATCAACACTTTCATCACATGACATTCTCTTTCACTGCAGGGTCACCTGTTTCACATTTAATGAAAAAGTCTGTCCTAATAGGTGATATATATGTGAAAGGACAAAGTGAAGGTTGTACGTGGGGCTTAACATAGTTTATTTTTCAGATCTTAGTTTTATCAAGTCATGTTTTACCACGTTCCCATAATAAGGGACCAATAAATGGAGACGGAATTATTTCTCATCATTCTCAGAAAAGACAACTGATATTTATTCTGTTCGAATTTGATTTGAAGTTCCCTGTGCAGGTTGGTGCAGAGAGATAGAAAATGGAGTCTGTAAGTTGTAACATAAATTTTCCTCGGTGCACTCCCAAGAATATGCAGCCTGGTCCTTGCAAAGCTATCTTCTCTCAGTTGCTTCTGACTTGTCACTTTAAACATGGTCTTCAAGGATAGTCAATCCTATTTTCCAAATTCAGAATCCTTACTTCTGTAAAATTACTCACCTCTAAAACTTTCTGCTGGCTTTCTTCCCCCAATACTTCAAGTTTCCGTCTTGCTCTCTGGAGACTTGGAAAGAGACTAAGCAAGTGTTTGTTAAGAGCAACCTTCTGCACTCTTGTCTGACCTATTTGAAGAAATGACCAGGAAAAGACTTATTGTGGCATTTATTGCCTTATAACCACCCTTTCTTTCATTAACAGGAGTTAGTTTACTGGCCAGCTGCATGATTTCATTATATGATGACTGAGTGTTTTATTCCCCCTCAGAAACTATTGCAATAGTACAAAGAAGCAGAGTTAGTAACAATGTCGTTTAATTTTTTTTATGTGGGAAATAAAATATAAATTGAGAAAGTGGGTTAAGCATCAATATACAGTTTAACAGTTGGTCATAAAGTGAACACCGTGTAACCACTGCCCAAGTCAAAAAAAGTAAATATTGCCAGCACCTGGAAGCCCCTTAATGTACCTTTCTAATTGTAATTCCCCTCCCCACCAGAGGTAGCCACTGTCCTGATATTTTATTGTAATCATAGCCTTCCTTTGCTTTGTAGTTCTAAAGCTTAGAGATACATTTCTCTAAACCATATATTGAGTTTTTCTGGTTTTTGAACTTTATATAAATGGAACCATAGTATATGTGTTCTTTTGCCTTGTTTTTTTTTCACTCAGCATGGCTTGTAAGATTCATTTGTGTGTTTACTGGTTTTTTTTTTTTTTGAAAATTTGCAAACATAAGAGAAGTTGAGAGAATTGTATAATGATATAACTATATATGCTATAATTGCATTGCCATCACATGACTAAGATTTGCCTATATCAATTGCTTTTTCCTTCTGAAGTGTTTTAATGTAAATTGCAGACGTCTGTAATCATACATCTCCAAAAAAAATAAGGAAAGTGTTCTGTGTAATCCAAGACCATTATATGTAGCAAAACTAATTATAATTCCCTAATATGATCTAATACCCAGTTCATATTCATATTTACCTAGCTGACCCCAAAATGCTTCAACAGCTGGTTTGTTCAAACTAAGATCCAATCAAAATTCATGAAGAATGCACTTTTGACAGCATGCTGAAAATGAGGCTGTTTCCTTCCTTTTTTTTCACATATACCTACTCAGTTAACAGAGCTCCCATAGGACCTGACTTCAGGTACTTATCCCATAGTCAAGAGGAAAACAAGTAGGCTCCTCTGTGTTAATGACATGGTCTACCTCATACTGTATCACTCCAGAGGAAAGTATGCTATCTGAATTATTTTCAGAAGACAAGCCTAATAGAAATGAAATCAAAACCAAAATTGTTATCTTGAGGAGATACTCTGTAGTACTGGGCTGCTTGAGCTTCTTCAGGAAGTCTATAGCTTTCTTTATTAGGGGAATGCACATGAGGGCTGGCCCAGCCAAGGGAGCTCATTGGAATGCAGGTCTCTACTGACTGAAGTTTCTACCAAGACCACAGGAGTGCAGGTAGGTAGACGGTTGGTCATTCTGATCTATTAGGATCTTCCAGGTCATCATGTCTTCCTAACTTGATATTGCTGGACTTAGGGTTTTCGGTTGTGTTTGTTTCAAATGTTTACCAGAAAGCTCTTGATGAAAGAGCACGGCCCCTGCTGAGCGAGCTGACCTCCCTGGTGCCTTTTTACAACAGAACACCTCATTTGCTTTCTGCAATCTGGTATTTAGATCAGCATCTCCCAGAGGCTTTTTCTCAGAGCACCAGCCCCATGGTACTCCATAAAAGGGTCATATTGTCCAACGAACTGGGGAGGAACGGTGAAACTGAGTTACACTGCTTCCTTTATTCCAAGTCTTCTCAGGGCCTTCAGTGTGCTAATGAACATGGTGATTCTCCAGCAGTACATGGCATTTCCCAAAATTATTTGTGCACAGAACCCTTTTCTCAGAGCATCTCTGTGGGTTACTATTCTGCAAAAACAGACTTTAGAAAGTGCTGATGTAGATGACTTGGATATAATTGCAAACCATAGTAAATAAAGTCTCATCTCGTACCTCATGGGCCATGAAGAATTTATCCAGGCTCACTGTGCAGCTTTACACAAGTAGAGTGGTTGGGCGTCTGTGTTGGAAATGAGGGATTTTGTTCACGTCGACTCTGCTAAAGTTCCTACTGTGATCATGGGGGAGGGGCTAACAGAGAGCAGAGATCAGGATCTATGCTTATTGTCTTGCAACAAGGACAGTGAGCCCTCAGATTTCAAGCTTGTCCAACCTGCAGCCCCTGGGCCACATGCAGCCCAAGACAGCTTTGAATGCAGTCCAACACAAATTCGTAAACTTTCTTAAAAAGTTACGAGATTTTTTTTTGCGATTTTTTTTTTTTTTTAGCTCATCAACTATTGTTAGTGTTAGTGTATTTTATATGTGGCTCAAGACAATTCTTGTAATGTGACCCAGGGAAGACAAAGGATTGGACATCCCTGATTTAGATAGAAGTTCCATGTGGTTTGGATTTTTAGAGAGGAAAAAAGTTCTAAACTGACCTGCCTCTCTCTGCTTTTGAGGATCACTTGGCCTTAGTTGCCAAATATAAAAAGAATTTTCTGGCTGGGCACAGTGGCTCACACCTGTAATCCCAACAGTTTGGAAGGCCGAGGCAGGCAGATCATTTGAGCCCAGGAGTTCGAGACTAGCCTGGGCAACATGGCGAAACCCCACCTCTACAGAAAATACAAGTTAGCCTGGTGTGGTACCGCATGCCTGTCCCAGCAACTTGGGAGGCTGAGGTGGGAGGATCACTTAAGCCTGGCAGGTGGAGTTTCCAGTGAGCCAAGATTGCACCACTGCATTCCAGCCTTGGCAACAGAGTGAGACTCTGCCTCAGAAAATAATAATAATAATAATAAATTTTCTTTCATTTTGAATTAGTGATTCGATAAGCTTTCCTTGGATTATCAAGTAATTGAAAACCCTCTTACCTAGTAATAACTGGGTTACTGGCAAAATGTTTAGATATTCATGGTACCTGAGGTAGTGAAAGACCCAATATGTGGTACTCATACAAATTGCCTCTAGATTAATATGACTTTTTATTGAATATGTTTAGCATATCATGTTGTCTAAAATTAGACATTCAGAGTTGCATTCTTTTTTCTTTTTTACATTCCTTTCCATTTTCAACATATCATTAGATTGACAACCTTATTTATTTTCTCATTAACTTCCTTATGACATAAAAGATGAACTGATATTTGCCACCTGGTCTTTTGAAATGGAAGACCACTAGGTTTTTCTCATTGCTCCCCTTTCTCCTCTTTTATATATTGTTTATATAAACTTAATTTTGAAACATCTCTTTATCTTAAGAAAGCATTTTTCTCTAGAGATAGCATAAATGTGGATTGATTGTTTCATTTGGAATCCTTCTAGGCTATAGGTGTTGCATCACACTAATACGTGGGTTGATTATTATGTTTTGAGTCTTTCTAGGCTGCAGTTATTGTATCATATGAATAATTCTCATTACTCATGAAGACAGATGGGAAGTGGAGGCATGTTCTAGGTTCTGGAGGCTCATTGCATTTGTCACTTGTAGATTTCTAGCCTAAAAAGTTCCTTTTACTGGAGTTGTAAGATTTACAAAGGATAAAAGCTATAGATTTGACTTGCAAGTAAACTACTCAGCAGTAAGCTACCACAAATTTCATCATTTCTCAATTGCTTTTCCCCCTTCAACTTTCTATTCCCTTCAGAATGTAATTTAAAGGCAGTTGAGCAGAGAATTCAACAGAGATAGATTGTCCTGGAGAGAAATCTAAATAAGTTTCTGCTCTGGTAATCTGAGCAGGACCAAATGACTTGTTCTAACATCAATATTGCTTTTTCTCCAACTTCTTCATCTTTACTTCATCAATACTTAAAAGTCATGGAACATAAGAGTTTCTTTCTTCCATCAGTACTGGGAGCACATAGAAAATACCCGGCCCAGAAATTGTACATCTAGCTATATATTCTAGAAAAATCCTTATACATGTTTACATGAGTGCCTGAACAAGTATGAACACAGTAGCGATGTTTGTATGCCACAATGTGGGAACAACTTAACTTGCCTTCAGCTGCAGGCTGGTTAAATAAATCATAGTACCTACATCCCATGAAATGGCATGCAGTACTCAAAAAGAATGAGGTGGGAAGAGCTATGGAACCATTTGATAAGTTAGAGGAAGAAAAAGACTTGTAGAACAACATGCATAGAATGATTTCATTTATGTTTTTAAAATGGTATTTGTATATGGTCTGGGAAGGTATGACTGTTGCAGGGGAGAGGCGGGGAAAAAGATGGAGGCAGTAGTGGATTTGATGAGTTAGCCTATGGAGGGAGAGAAAGTGAAAAGGACTGTTTTCTCTTGATTTCTTGAGTTTTTTACAGTAAAATATTTTCATGTATTATTTTTATAAATAAGTGTGTGTGTGTGTGTATGTGCAAGACATTTTTTTAAATGCCCTATTTTTAACAAATTCATCTAACCTAGGTATTCCACCAAGGAGAATGAGCCCATCCAAGATGCTTATTTTAAATTCATCAATGTCAGGCTGGGCGCAGTGGCTCACACCTATCATCCCAGCACTCTGGGAGGTAGAGGTGGGCGGATCATCTGAAGTCAGGAGTTTGAGACCAGCCTAGCCAACATGGTGAAACCATGTCTCTACTAAAAATACAAAAAATTAGCCAGGCGTGGTGGTGGGTGCCTGTAGTCCCAGCTACTTGGGAGGCTGAGGCAGGAGAAAGGCTTAAACCTGGGAGGTGGAGGTGGCAGTGTGTCAAGATCGAGCCATTGCACTCCAGCCTGGGCAACAGAGCAAGACTCCGTCTCAAAAAAAAAAAAATTCATCAATGTCAAAGAGGCATAGGATTCCCTGGCTCATCACAAATTCATATGGAAAGGGAGACTGGGAAAATACATTAAGGAGGTATCATGGGGAACTGGCTTTCGTAAATACAGCATAGACTGACATGGTGGCTCAGAAGAGGAGTTTAAAAAATGACTAAACTAGAACTACTGTCACTGTTAGTAGAGGTGGTCTTTGGTCCTTTATCTCCAGACTGCTCATTTCTAAAGTACTGGCTCACATACAGACAGATTTTAGAACAACAAAGTGGAACAGAAAGCTGTGAGAATTTCCCTAGTTTTCCTGTTTTTTCCTTCTTTACAAACTAGTGCAAAGATTGGTGTGTTTTAAACTGGAGATTTTATTATTCTTCAGGTATGGTGAGGCCAACAGATAAGAAGACAACTGCCATTGAAAAGATTGTTTTACTCCCAAATCCCAAGAGCAAGGGGCATGCCACCCAAGCAGGGCCACACAGGGGGAGGTATGGGAGGAAAATGTGGGCGTGAGCCTTGTTTGTGGTTTCCATGGGAAGGAACAGGCAAGACAGAATAAGCAGGCTTAGGATTGGCCAGCAGGAACACTTTCAGTGGGCTCTGTCACATAGGGGTGGTCTCTAGTCATCTAGTACCGGCCCTGGAGTGCTGAGGACAGGTGCACAGCGACTGGGAATGTACTAGCTCATTAAAGGAGGTGGTCAGGACTGTGGGCTCTGAATAGATTCATTTGGATGTGAAAGGCACATTCAAAGAATTCTATTCACTCTCTCTGGGAATCAGCCAGCCACAGGAGAGGCAGTCCATCCAGGGTCGGCAAGCCTCCGAGGTGTCAGAGCATCAGTAATACAGAATAAAAGTGCATGGTGAATACACAGTGGTAAAGATGCAAGAATAGCCATGCCTTTTGAGGTTTCATGCCTAGTTTTTATATTAAGGCAGAGTTTGAAGGCAAGTTTAGAGAGCCTTCCTTGGACATGCCAACCTTTAAATACAGTTTCTTGGGGCCATTTTTGGCTATGTTTGGCACTCTAATTGAGAAATCATTCTTCCAGTCATATTTCAGGCAAGTGAGATATGCGAAATCTCTTTTTTTACATGTCTGGATCTTGTCAGCTAACATTGTTGGTCTATAAAAGCAAAGCACAATTTGCTTTTTTGCTTTCTGTCTTCAGGCTTCTCATATGTTGGTTTTGAATTGTAGACTAGATGTTTCTAGAAGTAGTCTTTGCACCTTTGCTGGTTTATGTAGTTCTCTTTTGGTGTTTCAGTTGCCAGCATCACATTGTAAAGCCTCTGATGGTTTTCTGCATTGACTGCAGGCTGGAAATTTGGTTATTTTCTAAAGATCAGGGAGTTGCCTTGGCCACCTTCTAAGCCACATATTCATTTTGGGGAGAACTAGACTCCGGATTTTTCTGTTTTGGTTCTACTGATCAATTAGGTGTTAGAGGTTTAAAACATTGCTGAAAAGAAATTTACCTTTATATGCTATATTTCTAATTTTTCAATTTTAATGTTGGCCTCCTAGCTTTTTGTGACCTAAAGTTTATTAATTTCTTAGTCTGCTTAGATTTACTATTTTCATTTTTTTAACTAATGCTTTTGCTATTACAGGCATTTTTCTTTAACAACTTTATTGAGGTATAATTTACATACCATAAAATGAACCCATTGTAAGTATATTTCAGTAAATGATTTCAGTAAATTTAAAGGGTTGTGCAGCCATCACTGCAATCCAGTTTTATAACCAAATGGTTTACACTGAAGCATCCCCTCGTGTGGACACTTGGATTTTATACTGCCCTGTATTTTATTTTATTTTATTTTGTTTTTTGAGATGGAGTCTCACTCTGTTGCCCAGGCTGGAGTGTAGTGGTGCAATCTCAGCTCACAGCAACCTCCACCTCCTGGGTTCAAGTAATTTTCCTGCCTCACCCTCCTGAGTAAGCTGTGATTACAGGCCACCACGCCTGGCTAATTTTTGTATTTTTAGTAGAAATGGGGTTTCACCATGTTGGCTAGGCTGATCTTGAACTCCTGACCTCAAGTGAGGCCCACCTCAACCTCCCAAAGTGCTGAGATTATAAGCTTGAGCCATCGTGCCCAGCCTGCCGTGTATTTTAATAACTGTATAATATCAGAGTGATTTTTGGATTTGAGAATAGGTTTTCTTGTTTTAAAATAAGTCCTTCTGACTTTATTTTTTTATATAAAAATAATATCTGCTCTCATGCTTTTCCAGCACCTCTAGAAATACAGATGTTTGCTTAAAGGGATGGATTGCTTTGTTCTGTTCACTTTCATTTTCTACCTCCCAAAGACCAAATACTCCCAGGCAGTCAGCTCACCCTCACACCTCGGTTCTCATTTAGCTGATTTATCTTATCCCTGCCATCCGTCGGGCTGGTACATGACACATCACACCTTCTCCCTTTCTCGGTGGCTCACTCCTCTTCTTCTAAATTCTTTAACTTTTCATAATTCCTTCTTTTTTCTTCCTTTTTCATGTTTGTTCTACCCAAAGCCAAAATTATCGAGGAAGGAGGGTCAGACCATACCCAGTTTGTGAGAAGGGAAACCATTGTATTTTCTTTTTTCCCCATATCAACCCCATTTCCCGCTGTGTTTTACGGGTCAGTCATAAACCAGGTCCAATGGTTGTCCCTTTGCACCAGTCAACCCACAGTATTTTACTTCCTGGAGCAGTGTTGAGCTTGTCCTAGTGTAAAAGTTAAAGCAACTTCATCTTGGATGCTAATCCACCATGTTGGCTTCTGATTAACCCCAGGTCTTAGAAGGCCTCTGAGATTTCCAATTTATCTACTGTTCTTTGTGCAAGAGCATGTACTTACCGTAAGTGCTGCCCTTAGGTCAAAACAACCTTAATGTTACCATGCTTCGGTTGTCCTACACTTTCTTTTCAATCATGCAGACCCTTTCCATATAGTATATAAGCCCTGGGTCTGGGAGAATAATGGCCTGGGGATCCACTATCTCATCTCACTGCTGCCCAAGACCCAGCCCTGGCTTCTGTTTGTGAGTCCCTAGTACAAATTCAGAAGATTAATTTCTCAGCTTTTCTTTGTCCTCTCAGCTTCCTCAGACATGGGGGGTAGGTGTGCATACACCTGCCTGCTGCAGAACACTTTGACCCCACTGAAACTTAGCTCCGACTTTGGAAGAGCTGCTTAAAGTAAAACCAGAAGAGAGGTGTCATGCATACCTTGTTAAGAGAGATGGTAAGAAGAGAAGAGTTCCTGGCTGGGCACAGTGGCTCACGCCTGTAATCCTAGCACTTTGGGAGGCCAAGGCGGGCAGATCATGAGGTCAGGAGTTCGAGACCAGCCTGGCCAACATGGTGAAACCCCGTCTCTACTAAAAATACAAAAATTAGCCAGGAGTGGCAGCAGGCGCCTGTAATCCCAGCTACTGGAGAGGCTGAGGCAGGAGAATCACTTGAACCCAGGAGGCAGAGGTTGGAGTGAGCCATGACCATGCCTCTGCACTCCAGCCTGGGTGACAGAGCAGGACTCCCTCTCAAAAAAAAAAAACCTGAAGATTTCCTTACAGGGAAGAAAGAAGCTCCTGAGAGTAAAGTGGAATTATGTCACTTTACTATGACTTTCAACCCAAGTAAACTCAAATCAGATTGCCTTCTGTTTTTAGAGCCTTTTTGTTTTCCTATACATTATAATCATTCTCACAATGATGTTGCGTCATGGAGAAAAAGGGAAGAGCATTAAAATCTCTTTCTGCCCTTCCACTTACAGCTGTGGTACTCTGAGTAAGTTCATTTTGCTAGGCCTCAGGTACCTCCTTGTAAATTGGGAATGATTATACTTTACAGGATTGTGGTGAAGATTAAGTTAAGTAACAATTTTTCATGCTTCTCAAAATAATCTGTGCATTCGCTGTGGGCTCAGGGTTCTATACCAGGAATGGACAAAGCCATAGAAGAAATAAGCCATCTCTTTCCAGCATGTCACTTTAACTTGGAAATTGGTGGTGATGGAGCAGGAGTATTTTCTTATTTAAACTAAAACAGATATATTATGTGATTTCTACATTTACTTTTAAAGGAAACTTAGGACGTTAAAGAAATGTACTTTCTTTAATGCTTGGCATGGGCAACTTTGAGTCATACACTTGGAGCCCCTAGTATTCTCCCTGTGTCATAAGGAATGTTTCCATGGAAAAGTTTGAGAAGCACTGGTGCGTGAAAGCATCTGGCATAGTCTGTGCCACGTAGCACATTCTCATTTAACTTCCCATGTCTGTTTGATGAAGTATCCAACTGCATTTCCCTAGCACATGCTTGATAACGTCTCTTGGATGTGGCTAGCATCGAACTTGTCATGCATCCTCCAACCCCGATTCTCACCCCGTATTCCCTGCCTTAGTCATGGACAGCACCGTCCATTGAGTTATGCAGTCAAGAACCAAGGTATCCTCCTTGGCCTTTCTCTTTCCTGCATATCCCTGTCCAAGCTTTAACATCTAGTTGTGTCTACATTGCCACCTTCACACGTCTTGGGTGCATCTTTTGTCACTGTCAACAGCATCTTCATTTCAGCTACCATCATCCCCTGCCTAGATGCCTGTAATCACCTAGTCATTGGCCTCTTTCCAATCCATTCTCTATATTAAAGTGAATGTTCATCTTTCATATTCTCAAAGCTGTTCATTTCTTCCCATTGCTCTTAGAATAACATGGTCCATGAGGCCTTTCATGGCCCAGCCTCCTACCCCATCTCAAACATTCTTCATCTGATGCTGGCAGCTGCAGCCACACCAGCTTTCTTTCTGTTCCTTCCTGGAACCATGATTTCTCCATCTAGAGCAGGCTGCTCTATCTGGAGCATTTCCCTTGGCCCCTACCCAGCCCCCCTCAGCTCAAAGATCTCTTCTTCAGAAAAGCCTTTTCCAACACCCCAATCAGGGACAATATTTACCATATGCTCTGATAGGAACTTGTCCCTTTTCTTAAGGAGGACTGATCTTAACTTGTGATCACACATTAAGTAATATCATCATTTGATGATGGTCTGAATGTCACATGAGTCTGTAAACTCTATCACGGCGATGGCTGTCTCTTTGGTCACCATTATTTCCAGCCCCAGCCGGTGCCTTTGACCATGGACAGCAGATCCACAGTTGTTGAGTGACAGCTGATGTCCAGATGGCTGAGTGCTTAGCCTGAGAACATCCACATTTCTCTTAATAGCTCAGGATCTTGGACCTCCAAGTCCAGGGTTCTGCTCACCTCATTGCAGATCTTCCTTTAGCGCTGTAGACCAGGTCTCTCCACTTTAGTCTGTGGTTTACAACACCTAGGAAACCTCATTTTGTTTAAGAGAAATCCGTTTTATTTATGCGGTTAAGTACAGAAGGGGAAAGCATCTCTTTATATTCGGATGGCTTTTTGTCACCCAAACATCTGTAACAAACCCCGTACTTAAAGCCCCCCTGCTTCACCTTACCTGTCCAGTCTTCTTCCGCTGTGCTGCTGTGCTGCTTAGCAGATCTTTTCTTTTCTTTTCTTTTCTTTTTTTGAGACAGAGTCTCCGTGGGTTGCCCAGGCTGGAGTGCAGTGGCACAATCTCGCTCACTGCAACCTCTGCCTCCCGGGTTCAAGCAATCCTCCTGTCTCAGCCTCCCAAGTAGCTGGGACTACAAGCATGCGCCACCACGCCCAACTAATTTTTGTATTTTTAGTAGAGATGGGGTTTCACCATGTTGACCAGGCTGGTCTCAAACTCCTGACCTCAAATGATCCACACACCTCGGCCTCCCAAAGTGCTGGGATTATAGGTGTGAACCCCCGCGCCCGGCTGCTTAGCAGATCTTTTCAAATCAGGCAGAACTTTCTAACCTAACTGCATGCAATTCCCTGTCCCTTCTCCAGCCCTTCCCCAAGCTCTGAATAGAACATCTTTTTGCCTTCCTGCCACCATATAATGTCATCTGGTTTGACAAATAAAACTCTTGAACCCCCACACAAACACTGTTTCCATGTTTCCTGCACCCAGCTTTCCCCCTTGTCCTCCCATATAGCCCTCCTGCCGTCACTTCTGTGGGTACAGATTTATGTCTCTATTTTAGGATTAATATGTTCTCTGTCAGCTCTACGTGAGTGCATTCTAACCTAACATTTATTTTTCTCCCTCATATCACTTAATTCATTGTAATTTCAGAGAGGGAGCTAGAACGTAACATTTTTAAAATAGTAAGTTCCAAAATATATAATTAGTGATTCTCAGCCGAGTCATGCCTGAAAATAACCCAGAGAGCTTTTTTATCACAATGGAGATGTCCTGGTCCCACCCCGGACCTATGAAATTGGAATGGCTGGGCTGAGGCATCAGTGTTTTCCCAGTGTGGCAAAGTGACTTGACTAAGGTCACTCGACTCATGTCCCATAGCTTAGAGGGTGGCAGAGTTAGAACCACAATCCTTGTTGCTTGCTTTCTTTCTAGTTCTTCTTCATATTCTTTGGACTAAATTCCGTTGAGGGCAGTGTGTGTTTAATTAATCTGTATCTGAATTTGTCTGCATAAAGTAGTTTCCTTATTTTAAAGCTGATGATTTTCCCCTGAATATGTTTTCAAAGGCTGTGGAGGTTGAGTCAGTGTGTACCGGAGACTGCGCCAGCTGCTGGAATAGCCTTCTTTCCTCCCCACGTTCGCCTGTGTCCCTCCTTTGAGCCACAGGCCTGCCTCTTGGGCAGCCCCTCATTTCCTCACTCCTGGGTTGTTTCTACTTGATTTGCCCCCCAGCACACCCACTGTTACCTCTTCCTTCCTCCAGCCCCGCTGCCACCTTCCCAAGCACTTGACCTAGGTGCATGGTGGGGCCATGGTGGAGGTGCACTGGGTAACTGAATGGTTCCTTCTCCATTTGGCTGTTCCAGCTTGGAGCCTAAGAGAAGAAGGCAGTGGAGGGGCCGTGCCATGGAAGCCACCCCTACCTTTAGACAGTATCACCTCCGGACCTTGGGAGGCCACACCAGAGAACTTCTCAGAAGATATTTTCACACCATTTTTTAAAATAGTTGGAAAGCAACAGAATCCTCAGTGAGGCATGATCTCTATGAACTAGATCATTGAAACAGCAGTCCCTCCTGGGAGGAAGTACCATGTTCAGGAAAGTTCAGTAAGACATGAGGTTTGGCTGACATCCAAGGTGGCATTTCTAGCATTGAATCCCAGTTCCTTTACTCAATAGCGATGTGACTCTGACAAGTTGTTGAGCTTTTCTGTGCTACAGGTTCAACCATAAATTGGGGTTCAATTAAATAAGAACGCCTACCTTGGCTGGGCACAGTGGCTTACCCCTGTAATCCCAGCCCTTTGGGAGGCCAAGGCAAGTGGATCACGAGGTCAGGAGATCAAGACCATCCTGGCTCAAACCATGAAACCCCGTCTCTACTAAAAATACAAAAATTAGCTGTGTGTGGTGGCATGTGCCTGTAGTCCCAGCTACTCAAGAGGCTAAGGCAGGAGAATCGCTTGAACCTGGGAGGCAGGGGTTGCAGTGAGCTGAGATCGCGCCACTGTACTCCAGCCTGGGCAACAGAGTGAGACTCTGTCTCAGAAAAAAAAAAGAATGCCTACCCTGTCATAGGTGGTAATTTGAAGATTATTTGGAAGCTTAAATGACATCATCTGATTAAAAGGTTTATTATGATAGTATCAAAACATATTAACTGGTATGTCTCATTAGCTCACATTAGCAAAGCACGATTTACAGAAGCTTTCTCGTATGTTACATTGCCATATGTGTTAACATAGGATCCTTTAGAAGACAACTTTGTTACCTACTCACATCTGCCTCCCTGTTTGTCTTTTGTTTGTAGCCCTGGAAAGGAAAATATCTATGAGGCAAAGCAGAGAAGAGCTGATAAAGCGAGGAGTCCTGAAGGAAATCTATGATAAAGGTAAGGAGGATTGGTCTGTCATCCCCGGGTCAAAGAGTCATGCGTGGAATCTGCATGCATATTGCTTGGAGTTCCATTTCATTTTCTGCATCACCAGATATCAGGATTTGAACCATTAAAACTCCAGACAGTTCTAGAGAGAAAAGAGAACATAGCAGACAGTGCTGAAGCTGTCAGCATCATATGAGACGAAGGAAATAAAACTCCCTTTTCTGAGCATTGGAATCAAACCACAGGAGGCTAAGCAAAATGATGTGGCCCCGGGAATGATGCAGGCACTGGTTGTGAGTCTGTTGGCATGCAAATACACACGACCAGGGTGCAGTCACCTGTTTAGGCCCTTTCAGCAACTAAGTATTCCCAAGACAAGTGTGAGAAATCCATACTCATCTAGGATTTCCTTAACTTGTTTTTGTTTGTTTGTTTGTTTGCTTTTGGTGGTCCATCTTGCCACAATAGAATAAATTGAAGGAGATAAATTTGTGATATATGACTGTACATTTAAGATATTGGAAATGATAATATTATGGTGCTTCAAATGCTCTGTGAATGTGTCCACAGATATTTGCTGGTGAATACCACGTGTCCTTTGCTTATTGAATTATTGCCTTTGAATATGAACGTATGCAGTGAACTACATGGCATATGAAGTATCCTTCACTCCTCTTTTCTAAGAGCTTTATGGTATTTTAGTTTATTATGTATATATTTTGGAGACAGGTTCTTGCTCTGTTGCCCAGGCTGGAGTGCAGTGATGCAATCACGGCTCACTGCAGCCTTGACCTCCCAGCCTCAAGGGATCCTCTCGCCTCAGCCTCCTGAGTAGCTGAGACCACAGGTGTGTATCACCACACCTGGCCAATTTTTGTATTTTTGTGCAGACAGGGTCCCACTATGTTGCCCAGGCTGGTCTCAAACTCCTGGGCTCAACAATCTTCCCACCTCAGCCTCCCAAAGTGCTGGGATTACAGGCGTGAGCCACCGCGCCCGGCCTTTGCAATTTTCAATTGAACTTGCATGCGTGCACCTTCTCTTCTTGCTCCTCCTTCCTCTTCTTCCTCCTCCCTCCTCTCCCTCTTATCTCTTTCTCTCACTCTGAGGACCACACTCCCTCTGTTAGCGCTTTAAGTGAAATAACAGACTGTCACTTCCAATCTTGTTAAAATCATCAACAGTGATTTTCTATGTCAGGTCTTCTGATTGTTTCATGCAGGTGTTATCTGGTGGGCCAGATTATTAAATCACATAATATTCTACTTTAACAATCTGTCCTGATAGTCAAAGTGGTCCTGTAATCTGCCGACGCAGTCCATTTGCTGTGTTTTTGTAGGTCTTCTACATGCCTCGTGTGTTCTACTACAACGAGGCAGGTGGTACTTCTGGGTTCTGGCGCATCTTTCAGACTCCACTGTTTTGTGGGTTGGTTCTTATTCCTCTGGTGAATCTGACCTCCTTCATTCTTGTCATGGGCCTTCCCCGTGGTACTTTTGAAGTATTTTCTCTTAGCACAAATTACTAGCCTGAAATGCAAGAGAAAAGTGGCCTAGCTCTTGCCCTGCCCTGGTGGCAAGGCATAATGGAGGCAGAATGTGAAGGTGCATGATTCCAAACTACGTTCTGTCATTATCAGAACCTCCTGGGGTCAAGCAAGCCCTATGGTAAGCCAGCTTTATCCATCGATTTCTGTGTATGACCATACCAGCATACCACTTTTTTGATGGATTAAGCTCTCCAGGAAAAGAATCCATACTTTTCTTGCATTTCTTCAATGTCTTGCTGCCTGTATGATCCCCCAACCCTCCCTTGTTTTGTTGTTGTTGTTGTTGTTGTTTTGAGACAGAGCCTCCCTCTGTCGCCCAGGCTGGAGTGCAATGGCAGGATCTTAGCTCACTGCAACCTCCGCCTCCTGGGTTCCAGTGGATCTCCTGCCTCAGCCTCTTGAGTAGCTGGGACCACAGGTGCGCACCACCATGCACGGCTACTTTTGTTTTTTTGTTTGTTTGTTTGTTTGTTTGTTTTTTAAGTAGAGATGGGGTTTCACCACATTGGCCAGGCTGGTCTCAAACTCCTGACCTCAGGTGATCCACCCGTCTCCGCCTCCCAAAGTGCTGGGATTACAGGTGTGAGCCACCGCGCCCGGCCCCTCCCTTGTTCTAACTTTAAATCTCCATGCTTCATCATAAGCTCCTTTCCCCATATTCACCCCCCAGGAGAGATGGAAAATGTTTAACTAAAGGTATAATATTATATAATAAGCACCCGAGTGCTTAAATAAATATTATTGTTACAGCCAAAACTTGTTCAGATCCACTTAAACAATCCCTCTTCTCCCTCAGGAATATTCTGAAGTAGAGAATACATGTACAGTAGCATTTATTATTTCCGTTACATCTAATAACTGGGTTAAGATAAGAATTGCCTAAGTGGCTTCCTGACTTATAAAAAGAAGTCACAAACTGTTGGAGCAAAAGCCTCATTTGATAGGGAAAGAAACAGGATCCCTGAGACTGGAGGGTCCCTTAGGCTGCTCTCAAGGAACTCCAGACTGTTGGTGCCCCAAGTCCTCACCAACAGTTAGGAGTTCCCTGAGAGCAGGCGCTGTGCCTCTGTCACACTTGCTTCTTTCTCCATCAGCACACATGGAGCTGACACAGGACCTGCACTCAGTAAGTGGCTGCGGGCCGGGCTCGGTGTCTCACGCCTGTAATCCCAGCACTTTGGGAGGCCAAGGCGGTGGATCGCTTGAGGTCAGGAGTTCGAGACCAGCCTGGCCAACATGGTGAAACCCTGTCTCTACTAAAAGTACAAAAATTTGTCGGGTGTGGTGGCATGCGCCTGTAGCCCCAGCTACTTGGGAGGCTGAGGCAGGAGAATCACTTGAACCCAGGAGGTGGAGGTTGCAGTGAGCCAAGATTGCACACTGTACTCTGGCCTGGGCAACAGAGCAAGATTCTGTCTCAAAAAAGGAAATAAATAAGTAAATCTGTACATACATACATAAATAAGTGATTGCAGAGGGAAGGACCAGTCTAGTCCCCACATGTCACTTGTCACCACAACTTCCTGTTTTACTTTGATCCTTGCACTTATCACTGTCTGTTCTTTCTGTTGTTTGTTGACTGACTTTGCTCACTAGCACATAAACTGTAGGAGAGCAGGGGCCTCAGAGGCTGCGATTCCCCAAGCCCCAAATCATGTCTGATATAGTTTAGATGCTCAAAAATGTTTACTGTTTGGATGTTGGGAAGAGGAGAAGAAGAGACAGGCTAAAATGAAAACTTCGTTGCACATAGTAGTGTATAGGTTTGTGTTTTCTATGGGATTTTCTGATAAAAGCACTCATTTTGTATCTCTGTGGATATTAATCTCATTGCCTCATATTATAGTATATCTACAGTTAGGAGCATGAGCCCTGGAATCAGTTTCAATTCTAGTTCCACTGTTGACTAGCTGTGCAACTTTAGTCAAGTTGCTTGACTTCTCTGTGCTTCTCTTGCTTTATCTGAAAGTATGGGTGATGTTGTGATGAGGATTACAGGAGATAGCACATATGAAATAGAACAGTGACTTTTTTATAACAGTGACTTTATAGCAATCTATAAATTCTCAATAAGGGTTAACATGCTGTGATTGTTGGTAGTCTCATCATCATCATCATTGTCCTTTATATTTTCTTCAAACCTTTTATGTGCCTCACCCTAGGTGACCCTATCAACAGGCCCAAGAATTCAGAAGAGTGGACATCACTGTCCCCTTTTGTCTGAGGATTTAAAAAGTACAAAGATCTGTGACCTCCTCAGAATGGCCTTCGTGTCAGTGTCCACCGAGAACCCGGTCTTCTGTATCCGAATTCGGTTCCACCTGGCTTTCCTCTTAGCCTCTAAGCAAGTCATTTTCCTGTCATTTGTTCTTCCCTTTCTATAATATCATTCTTTTTCCTGTATCTGAGATTCGGGGGGTAAAGCAAATAGAATTTTATTGCCGCAACCTGATGAACGGCAAATGGCAAAGAGACTTTCTTTTTTTAAGTTGTTCATTTCAAGGATAAATCTCATAGATTCGGAGCAATCATTCCATATTGCCTGGCTGGTCATTCCTCATTTTGCACCATCTCCTTGTGTTAGCGCACATGACTCTAGCTAGTTACCGGCAGCAAAATCGTTTCCACCAGCGATGCATGGACCCTGACAGCTGCCGCATTGATTTGTAATGACTGTGTCAGCCTGTCCACCTGCATGCAGCCTCCAGGCCCCACCTCTGTTTGTGCCGCAGTTATGCTGTTTGTGTGCACGATACTACTAATGTGGTGGAAGATAATTTGTCTTTAGTAGGTAGGATTTTCCCTTCCAGTGCTTTTTACATTATTGATTTTGCCTGATAATGCCCCACTTGTTCATAGAAACCATGAAAATAAACTAGTGATTTGAGAGTCGTAATTATTTGGGCAGAGTACACACAAAATTAATGAGGTTTTATTACTCTGACAGTTCTCAAAATTCTTTCCATTTTCCTTCATGGGTTAAAATCCCAAACTGGTCAATGAATTTAATTCAGGCAAAATGAGAGCTTGGGTCTAAGAAAAGTAATCTCAAATGTCGACTGAACCGGCACAGAGATTCCTCATTTAACAGAGTGTGTTAGACAAGAAGAGCATAGTTATTCAACAGCTTTTTTTTTTATTATTGGCTTCCATATTGAATCACATAATTTTACAATCCAGAGATTTAGATAAAAGTTTTAAAATCAGAGGAAATAGTTTGATCTCTAGATATATTGAGGCCAGGTAAGAATGCAGCACACTTTGAAAACCACATAAAAGGAAATTTTAAATTATGTTAGTTGTGATGGTAGCATGGACAGAAAATTATAGGTTCTTTTTTTCTCATTTTCCTGATTTTCTACAATATGATTGTTTTATAAAGAACACAACTTAAATGTTAAGGTGAACTGCCAACACTATAAATAGTAAAAATGTTAAACCAATTAATGGTGTAAAATAATCTATAGTTCGACAGTTTATTTTTATTTATTCCTCAATCTTATGACCTATTTGCTTAAATTTGAACTTAATTTAAACAAACTAAACAAAGTTTAATTAAACAAAGTTCTCCTTGGCTCCCGGGCTATGTATGTATTTATTCATTCAACAAATTGGCACCAGGTGCTCCCTCCGTGCCAAGGAGTTGCCTCGGTATGGAGCTACAGTGATAACCACAATTGCAAAATCTTACCATTTCAGAGTTTACCTTCTACTCAGAAATAGGAAATAATACATATAGTATTTGTTGCCAAGGAGTGATGAGCGCTCTGAAGAAAAATGAAGCAGCAGGATAAGGAAATAAAGTCAAGCGAAGGGGGAGGGGGTTGTGATTTTAGGTCAATGCAATCATGGAGGACCTCTTGTGGGAGGTGATATTTTCACAGAGACCTAAACGAAGTGACCGAGTGGCTCAAACAGGGGCATGGGCACCCAGATTCTGAAACCTGGTCCTACTACAACTTTAAGGCAACTTGTAACTTCATTCATGAGCCCTTAAGTTCTTCAGATTGCCCCGGGATGTTTCTTTTCAATAAAGGCCTCTCTGTGGCATTTGCTTCTCTCTCATTACCCTGTAAATCAGAGCCTGTCACTGCCTGCTCAAAGCCTGCAGTGGCTCCACATTTCACTCAGAAATTCCAGGTTTCTACAACAGCGTAAAGCCCTGCATGGTCTGCCCTCCAACCCCTAACTTTCGTTTTCACTCTCTTCATCCCTCCTACAAACTCCCTTTCCCTGGTGCCACTTCAGCCCTGCTTCCTGGCCCTCGAGGTTTGCGTTGGCTGCGCCTTCTTCCAGAAGCCTCTTCCCCCAGATATCCAGATGGCTGGCTCCTCTTTCCAGCCTTGGCTGAGGTGTCACCTTCCCAGTGAAGCTTACTCTGCGACCACCAAGTTTAAAATTGCTGCCGCCTTCTCTAAGTTCTTAGACCCCTTACCCTCCTTCTTCCTTTTTTCTTCTATCTCTTATCACCTTCCACCTTCAGACGCCTGTAAATTATGTATTTATCATGTTAATTTTTTCTTGCCTATCTCTCCTCACTTCATAAGCTCCACCAAGCAGGGCAGGGGTCTTCGTCTGATTTGTTCCCTGTTGTAGCCCAAGTGTCTATAGCAGTGCCTGGGACAAAATTGATGTTCAGCAAATGCGAATAGAAAGCAATGAATGCAGGCATGAGGTAATTTCTGCATGTTCACATGACTTGGTTTATTCACTGCACCGGCGAAATCCAGAATACTAAGAACACTGATCCCCCTTATTTATTCAGTTTTATGGTCCATAAAACTTTATTGCCAGTTATTTAAATAGGTAATATTATATTATGTATATATTTGTATACATGGATGCCAAATGCCCTACTTTCAGATAGTGTCTTTAAGTGGTATGGGAAAAATATAGCAATGTCAGTCAATAGTATAGTCATCCCGAGGTATACGCAAGGGATTGGTTCCAGAACCACCTCCCATACCAAATTTCGCACATCCTCCAGTCCCATAGTCAGCCCTGTGAAACCCATGTATACAGAACATCAGCCCTCCAAACACAGGTTTTTCAATCTGTGTTGGGTTGAAAATAATTCACATATGAATGGACCTATGCAGCTCAAACCTGTGTCATTCAAGGAGCAACTGTATATTGTTTGGTCATTAATAAAATAGTGATAATATTTCTCACACTTGGCGAGGATCTCACGAAGTCACCTGGCTAGCTACTGATTATTCCAATGTAGGCAGGAAGCAGCTGAAGCCCAGAAAGGTTATTGATGTAACCTAAGTCACAGCCGGTGAGTGTGAACTCTTAAAACCCCTGCTGAGATCATATGTTCTTCATGTGGGATTTATAGGGACACAGGAAGGCTATGCACATTGGTTATCTGAGAATCTTAATAAATATTGCTATTACTGGCTGTTGCAAGTAATCTCTACAAATAAACATGATGCTGTATTTGTAGAATGTTAGGGATAACAGTGGTGATTGTGCTATTTCCATCACTGAATTTCTCTATGAAGCCTCAATTCTACCACAGTGTCACTCACTTTGTATGGTATGGGTATGTGTAATTCACGTGGATGTATCTTTTATTGGGAGGATGGGGAGGGAAAAGAAGACCACTTCTCTACCATCCGATGAAATGACATTTTCCCTGCATGTTAGACAATTCCACACCCTAAATGTGGCAGCCTGCCGTGAGATCAGTGAAGCTGCCGCAGCTCACCTAGTAGTTTCCACTGCAGTCCTACCTAGACCTGGGGGAAGAGGTAATCCTACAGGGAGGGGAAAAGAGATAAGGAGGGCATGTATCCTGCAAGGAAAGAATAAAACTGACAGTGTGCCAGTGAGCAACTTTGCTTTCCATTGTGTGCTGGAAATTAGAGATAACATGCCACAGCAAGTAATAAAGTACATTGAGGTATGTTTTTTTCCTTAATCAGGTTGGAGCAACCTTAATCAGGTTGGAAGGTGTTATTTTTAATTATAAACACAAACAGAAGCTTCCTGAAATGGACAACTCTTTTACACAGGGGTCGCATTTTTCGTCTTCTGACATTCAAGATGAAAAAGCCCAATATTTAAATTAAAAGGTCATCGTATTTTAAAAATAAAAATAAAACTTCTTCTCTGTATTAGAGGAGACAAATGTAGACTCGAGCCTTCTTAAATCCCATAGTTTATCTGGTATTCCAGGTGCATAGACTTCTAAATCTTGACGTTTATAGGAAATGCTTTTCACAGCCTTTACCAGGCACTATTGTTTGTCATGTTTTTAGCTGTTTCTGACGTCTCACCTAGAAATGGCATTTTCTGAAAGCTGTGATTTGGAGTAACCATGTGAAAATGAAAAGAGTGTTTACTTTCAGCATCAACAACCTATAATCATTTGTGTAGCACCTAAGCACTTAATACAATAGGTTTACTTGGACTTGCTTTTTTAACAAAATCCACCTTTGAAAATGTAAAGGTGTTAAATTAAGACAGCTAGAAAGTGGTTTAAACAATAAGAATAAAGAGCAATTGTGATAACAATTCTCTTAAGCAACACTGTTCTTTCAGAAAACCACTATCCCAAACCTAAAGAATTAGTGAGATAATAATTATTATTGTAGTGAGTAAGCGTTCCACATAAATGTATTCATTCATTATATGTCTGTGAGTGCCTGTTGTGTTTCAGGCACCATCCTGGGCACCAGGAATACTAGGAAGGCCAAGCCAGGCGTCTCTGGCTGATAGAACTTACAGTCCTGATGACGGGTTTAGTCTGCTTGGCAGTTACAATGGAGAAAGGATAGTATTTTCAGGTGCATGTGGAAGCATCACCCGCCGAGGCCTGGGGACTTAGGGAAGGCATCTTGGAAGGAGTGGTATCTTAGAGGAACCCTGCGGGGTGAGTAAGAATCATGCTAGAGAAGATAGGAGGGGTAAGGGAATGTTACAAGCTGAAGGACCAGTCCAGTTGGAGGCACGGAGTCAGGAATAAATGAAGAGAAGGGGTAAGAGTGCCCAGCATGTCTGTAAGGAAAGGGGGAGTCAGGACAGATCATGCAGACTGGAAAATTATGTTCATTGTTTATTCTTCATCTTGAGAACAGTGAGGTGCTTTGGGAGGGTTTTCCACGTAATCAGATTTGCAGCCTCATCACACTGCCTGCAGGGAGACTGACTTGCAAGGAGAGCAAGACATGAATCAGGGATACCAGCTAGCTGACCGTTGCTGGGATTCAGAGGATGTGATGGTGGGTAGTGGGGAAAAGGGTAGTAAGCATGGGGAAAAAGAGAGGACAGACTGGAGAGTTCTAGGAGGTGAGGTCTAAAGGGACTTGTGACCACTTAGATTTGGGGAAGTGAGGAAAGGGAGTAGGCAGTGCTGAGACTCAGGATTTGGGCGTGGGCGACTGGGTAGACCATTCCCTGAGCTGGGATCCCGAGAGAAGTGAGTTTAGGACACAAAACATTGTGATGATTTGTCCCCATTGAGTCTCAGATATCCAAATATCTAAGTAGACCTCTAAGTATACAGACATGAAACTCAAGGGAGATCTGGGCTGGGCTGGGCTGGAGATGGTTTGGACTGGTCAGTGTATACATCCTGTAGTCATGTAAATTGATGGTATTTCTCAGAGAGAATGTAGAGTAGGAAAATAAGGTGGCCCTGATAGAAAACTCCATGGAACCCCAACATTTAATGTTTGGGGAGTAAAAAAATGACCTAGGAGTAAGAAGGACCCTCAAAAACTAAGAAGTGGTCAAAAAATAGGAGGTCAACCAAAAATGTGTAGCATTATGGAAGCCAACACAAGAGACTGTTGCTCAGCTGGGGACAAAGTGGCCCACACTGTCAAATGCAGACACATCAAATAAGACAAGGAATGAGAAAAAGATCAGGAATAAAAGTGCCCTTTTGATTACATTTATGCTATTATATAGATTCTTCAGTTACCTGTGAAGCCAGTATGCAGGCAGCAGGGTGTAAGTTAAGATGCTCTAGATGCAGGTAATAAAAAGGTTAAAGAGACTGAAACAATAAGCAAATTTAGAAAGTCTGCAGGCTAATAATTTTTGTATGTTTGTCCTCTAAGGTATCCCAAATGCCTCAAACAATCTTAGAGTTTGTTGGTGCTCATTTCATATTTATTGCGTGAAAGAATGAAACTCACATAATAAAGTCCAATTGTAGGGCAGCTCCAGGGCTGGTTCATTCATCAGCTGTGTACCATGGCTAATGGATGCCATCCTCTGGCTGTAACTCCTCATGGTGACAAGATGGCTGCAGCAATTCCTACATCACATGCGTATACCACAGTGTACAGGGAACAAACGAAGGCTATATCTTCTTGGTATCTTGATGACAGCAAGAAAATTTTGCACCAAAGGTTTTTCAGGATTACCCTCATGTCTCATAGATGAAAATTTGCGCAGATAACCATCAGATATTTTCCTCTAATTTTGACAAATGTTTCCATAAATTTAAGTATTGCAAGTACAGTCACCTGCCTGAGTGCTGCTGCATGATGTAAATTCATATTGGAATATCCACCATGAAACCACCCTTTCTAACTGCTTACCTGGACCCCTCCTGTGAACTCATGGCAGGGCAGGGTACGTGGGGCATAGTGGGCATCAATGCCTCATCCACATGTCCCCGGCCTTCCAATGCTCTATTACTCCCCAGCCACTGACATGCATTGACCTTTATAACTGGAAAGCCAGCCAAACTTTGGGAGTCTAGTAGCTGATGAAGGAAAAGCTGGAAATAGCTTAGAAAAATGTTCCAGATTTCATACTTTTGCCCAAGACTTGTGTAAAGTTAGACAAGTCAATGGGGCACGCCACCCAATTCATAATGTCTAAAAGAACAGTACTCTTGCAGGAGTCCTGAGCCAGGGTTTCCAGTTCTGGCTCCATCGTGTTCTGTCTGTGGAAGATACAGGGCATCTTTTCATCTCTCTAGACTCTGGTTTCTGATTGAATATAACCCCAGGACCCTAGACTGCTGCCGCCAGCAAGGCCATGCTTTCATTTGATCCCTTCTCACTGTTCCCAGGCCCAAGCCTGCTTGATTGAAGGCAGTCTGTTACCAACCGGGTGATCCTCCTAGAGTCTCTGGGAATCATTCCATCCTCCCATGGAATGATGAACTCTTCAACTCCATTCTGGCCCTTGCCTGTCATCTCATAAAGGACATAATCCCGTTTGGGCTTAAAGGACGTAATCCAATGTGGGAAGTTAGGTCATCACCTGCTTAGAGCAGGTACTCGATCAAGGTTAGCTATGGTCTCCACCAGCCACCTGTTCTCCCTGCTCTTCTGCTCTCCTTTCATGCTTTTCTCAAGTCCTCTTCACAGTCCCCACCCCACCCCACCCCACTTCCGCCCAAGTAGAGCCGAGATCCACTGAAGGCTCAGGACTCCTCCAAGGGCCATGTGTGCCTCTGTAGTTCTGTCTCACTGCTCTCAGGGCTCCCACTGTCCATGTGTGCCCTGGAGCTCATCCCCCATCCCAGCACTCCAGGTTTCCCACAACTGCAGTTTCTCTAATAGGACTACAGTACACTGAGCCAGACACTCATTATGGTGGAGATCAGTGTAGCAGCATCATTTTAACCTCTCTGTTCCAGAAATGGATTGACTTTTGCATACATGTAAGGCCCATGGTTGTGATTTTCAAGTCTACCTTGAGCGGTGCTGTCCAGTAGAACTTTCAACAGTAACAGAAATATTCTGTCATCTGCATCGGCCAATGCAGTATCCTCTAGCTACGTGTGGTGGTGGAGCACTTAAAATGTGGTTACTCTGATTGAGGAACTGCTTTGTGAATTTTGTTCAATTTTAACGAACTTGAACACCACTACATGTGTCTAATGAATGCCCTATTTGAGAGCCCAGCTAGAGAAACAGAGCTGTGCAAATTTTGAAATGGCCATCCCCTATAACTTCCCTCCCCCAGCTCTAGCCAATTTTTTTTTTTAGATGGAGTTTCACTCTTGTTGCCCAGGCTGTAATGCAATGGCGCAATCTCGGCTCACTGCAACCTCTGCCTCCGGGGTTCAAGTGATTCTCCTGCCTCAGCTCCCAAGTAGCTGGGATTACAGGCATGCGCCACCATGCCCGGCTAATTTTTTGTATTTTTTGTAGAGACGGGTTTTCACCGTGTTGGCCAGGCTGGTCTTGAACTCCTGACCTCAGGTGATCCGCTCACCTTGGCCTCCCAAAATGCTAGGATTACAGGTGTGAGCCACCACGCCCGGTCAACTCTAGCCTTTTCTAAAATCTTGGATGCTAGGCTCAGTTGGGCTACCCTATTAATGATGAAAGAGGCCCCTTTCACAATGACTGATTCTGTGAGATTCAGACTATCAGATTCCATAGGAGAGAAACTGTGACATTCTGTTCATTTATATTCAATCTCTGCCCCAGTTGCATTTTTTATATCAAAATGCCCAGAAATAGCAAGATGGTAACTCCTCTTTCAGCTACAAACCTTGGAGCCAGAGTCATTGTTTGGAAATAGTGGTCAGAGCCCTGATAGTTCATGAGGATACATCATCTGAGAAACCATGCACTTGGCGTGCAGACTGCTGGGGAGGTATAACCATACCCGGGAGACAGGCACCACACAATTCCATGTAATGAGGCGCTCAGGTTACCAGGAGGCTGAAGGCAGGGGAAGCAGCCCAGACTCCACATGAGCCATGGTTTATTGACCATGAGGTGCAGTCAGAGGCAGCAAATACTAATAAATCCAGCAGGAAACAGCTCCAGGGAAGTGCAGCTGAAACAAGCTACCCAGGGTCAATGTCTTTGCCACTCTTGTGATGGAAAGTCATTGCATCTCACCTATTTAATGTTTTAGGCAAAGGCTTCTCAGCAAGAAGGAGAAGCCTATTAAAATCAAAATAGGATAATAAACTCAGAACAATAACCACAATAACAAAAAGCAAGATGATTCTTTGAGTACAAAAACAGGTACCATTTCATTCCTTGTGTGAAAATATCCACTCCAAGTAACACAGAATCAATTAAATTCTGAGAATGAAAATAAATTTTGCACAGATTTTCAAGGTAGTTGGATTCAGAAGGATTTTGTGAGATGCCTGCGTGAGGCAGAAAAGAACATCACGGCTCTTGCCAGATTGTTCTTGCATATTGGTCAGAATAATCCAAAGACTTGGCTGCAGGTAGGGGTAAAAAAACTGGAAGATTCTCTGACTTGTAGATTCTGAAAATATAGGTTCCCTGGTCCTACAGTCCCCTGTAGTGTCTGCCTCAAATCCTGACAGTGCACAGAGACTTTTAAACACAAACACACACAACAAAATGACTTTTCTTCACTTGGAAAAGTCCAAAAGTGCCAAAGAACTAATGTATTTGGTTGGTACAAATGTAATTGCAGCTTTAATGAAAAGTAATGACAAAAATTGCAATTACTTTTGCACCAACTTAAATCGTTTTTTGTTTTTTTCTTCTTCCAAGTAAGACTATCAAGTCTTTTTAAATGCCCAAGCATCAAATGATAGTCACACTCATTAGTAAATAGGCAACATTTAATAAGAATATATTGCCTTCTATGCTCTACATTTAAAATTCCTTAAAATGACAACTATGGCACCATGTAATCACACGAACTCCCTAAACTCAGGCAAACTGGAGAAAATATCTCCAACAGAGATTGACAAATGCCTCAGAAACATTTCCAACTTCTTAGGCTTAGAGCTTTTAATCCATCGAGGAAATCCTTAGATAAATTATTACTTAGTTAACTGTTACTCAACACATCATTTTACGTCATTTTACTGACTATCGGGGCAACTGGCAGCTTCGATTGCAGTGATTTGAAAGGTTGTTGGGATTAACAGAAGCTTTCAGAGCTCTGCATCTTCTTGCTAAAACGACACCTCTCTGAGGTGTTTAGATGGAGTTTCACTCTTGTTGCCCAGGCTGGAATGCAATGGCGCAATCTCGGCTCACTGCAACCTCTGCCTCCGGGGTTCAGGTGATTCTCCTGCCTCAGCTCCCAAGTAGCTGGGATTACAGGCATGCGCCACAACGCCCGGCTAATTTTTTGTATTTTTTGTAGAGACGGGTTTTCACCATGTTGGCCAGGATGGTCTCGATCTCTTGACCTCGTGATTCACCTGCCTCGGCCTCCTAAAGTGCTGGGATAACAAGCGTTTTCCATTGAAAACAATAGCTATGCCCCCTTAATGAGTGGATTTTTTTTTTCTATTCACATAGAAAACATATATCAATGTCAAAAAAGTACATAAGACGAAGTCTCTATTTCAGCCTCACTAATGTTAGGACCACTAACACCAGAATGACACTTGTGTGGGAAGCACCTTAGACTCTCCATTTGAGATGCACAAAGGGCATGTCTGGGAAGCTAAAATGGGAACACAGAACATGCTGAACAGCAGCTCTTGTCTCAGAGAGAAAAGGCAATTAGCAAATGCTTGCGTTAGCCTCCTCTTCTGTGTCTTCACAAGGATAATTATTTGCTTTAACACAGGGTGGCTTGACTTCTTTATTTTGCTAACTATAGCCATAGGTGATCATCAGTAAATTAAAATGTGTTTGAATTTTTGCAAGCATGCATGTGTAAATTCAACACATTTGCATTACCAACAAAGATGCAGTGTAGTTAATTCTTCTTATGATTTTTGGTCTAAAATTGTCGCATGGCACTTCACTTACATAATGTTTCTTTACAATGGAAGCATAAATGTAGCCATGGTTTCATGATGTTCATTATTCTCTTCTACAAGAACTAACAGTTAAGAGAGTTTGAGTTTTGTTAATCACAACTACATGTCTTATTTATAAAGGATTCTATGTGGTTCTTGCCATCCTTAAGGAATTAAAATTTCCAAGTAAGCCATTTTAAATTAAATCACATACATTCTCTCTCTCTCTCTCTCCCCCTCCCTCTCTCTTACCATATAGTACTAGCTCAGCATCTACTGAGCTAGGGACTTCACACAAGTTATTTAACTTTCTAATGTTCACTTTTCTCTAAACAATGAGAGTGATTTTGGTACTAACTTCATAGGATGGATGGATGGAAGGAAGGAAAAAATAAACACAGCCTGGCACATAGTAAGTTCTCTGAAATATTGTTTCAGAGGTTGTTATTATTACTATCATATATAAAAAGTCCAACATAATGCTGGACACCGAAGATGCTCCAGAAATGTTTCTTTCTCCTTTCATTTCTTCCTCCCTGTCTCTCTGCTGTGTACAGAGCCTTTTTGTGTAGAGCACAGATTTCTAGATCTATGTGAAAACTTTACTTACAAGTTTTTAAAAAATAAAAATATAAAACTTTGTTTAGCCAACAATAAAGCAGAAATTCATTCATTTACTTTCTAGTTCTTGCTGTAATAGGTCTAAACCGTATGTCAGGCAAGAAAAAGAAAACCTGAATATAAAATGCTGTGCTGTGTTAGCTCATCTGATATTTCAGGATGATTTGCAAGTTTGGGTGGGGGCGCTTTTTCTCATCTCTTCCAGCCCTCATGCAGAGAATACTTTGATCTGCAAGGAAGTCAGGCATCATCCAACACAGTCCTTTTCTTTTCAAGGGGCAGACACTAAGGTCCCCAGAAGCTAAGTGGCTTGTTGAGAGCTAGTGATGGCCAGGATAACAGGGCTCTCCCTGTGCTCTGAGTCAGGGCTTCTTTCCATTGCAGCTGCGCTTCACCCCACCTGTCTCTCCTGAGAACAAATTAGAGGCGCTCACCAGCACACCTCTGTTAACTGAGGTTAGCAGGTCCCCCAGGAGAGCATGGTTTCTAACACCATTCTTTCTATCACCTGTCAGTGCCTCCTTCGATTTCTTTTTACCTGAGGCGGAAAAAGCATTCTCTTCCCTTGAGTCTCCAGACTGTTAAGGATTTGAGGGGCCCTCTATTAGCACTCTTCTTCTGTCTCTGAATTTCTGAACCATCTTCTGTCTCTGAGTTTCTGAACCATGTGAGAAATAAGACAAATGGGAGATCGAAGTAGGGGATCTCCTTTATCACTGGCAAAAGCTGGGCTGGAGGAAGTCGTTGATGGGTCTGATCATGCTCCTCCCCTAGCCTTGACCTCAAATCAGCCCACCAACTGGGAAAGTCTGAGTCTGGAGTCAACACGGGTCCAGGGCAGGAGGGAAAGGATGGATTGGCTCCCCCAGTGGAGACACAGGGGCCAGTGCTTATACCCCAGCAATGAAGCAGCAGTTAAGAGGGGCAAGAGGGTAGGCAAGCAGAAGCCCTGGGGAAAACGTCTCCATGTAGAAACCAGAGGAATGAGGAATGGGTTTCCCCTCTAACCAAGCTATTATTGTTTTAGTGTAACATGGCAGCATGCAATTTTTTTGTATTTTTAAAAATAAATGTAAGCATCTTGCAGGGGAAAAAAAGTGAATGATCATTAAGTTCTATATCATGCCAGATTCACTTCAGAGCTTTGCCAACCTGCACTCATATTTCATTTTCATGTCATTGTAATCCACATGTGCATACTGTCCTCCATTCCTGCTTTTGTGCTTGACATTATTTCAAACACATCTCATGCATCCACGTCACTCACATGGTCATTTCATTTGCATTTCTCTAATTCCTAGCAAGGTTATGCATTTTACAAGTGGCACCTGGGACTTGATTTTTTATTTACCAGAACAAACACTCTTCCTACTTGGAAGAGTATGTTCTTTTATTAGGTCTGTGTAGCACGTATGTTTCCATTGTGCTGCTTTTGTTCTTCTGTTTGGTGTACAACATTTCCTTTTGCAAATTAAAAATCAGAAAGTTCTATAAGGAAGTCAGCACTATCCATCTGGCTTCCCTCTTGAACAACCTGAATAAATAAATAAATATATATTTGTTTCTACTATTCTATTTTTCGTACATTTTTATTCTGGTTTTAAAGTTTTATTTTTAGTTTTTGGATCTGTGTGAAATGTATTGCCATATTGGTTCAATATATAGATATAAAGCAATTCTTCATAGTCATATTCAATGGTTATTTATTAAATAAGGATTTCTTAGCTCACTAGAGATACATTTTAAACATGGGTTTTCAAAAATATGAACCATAATTCATATCATAGAAAATCAGATTTAGTGGTGAGCTTACATTTATTAATGTACTTTTGTGTTTCAGAATTAGAGTTGACACTTTTAAAAATCCTAAACTCCAGAGGGTCCTGAACCCTGAGCCTTTTCAGAATAAAATGTCCTTCCTTCATACAATATTTTACCAGATATGGTGGCTCATTCCTGTAATTTCAGCACTTTGGGAGGCCGAGGCAGGAGGATCACTTGAGCCCAGGAGTTCAAGACCAGCCTTGGCAAAATAGCAAGACCCCATCTCTAAAAAAAAAAAAAAAAAAAAAAAAAAAAAAATCCAGGCATGGTAGTGTGCACCTGTAGTCCCAGCTACTTGGGAGGCTGAAGTGAGAGGATCACTTGAACCTAGGAGGTAAAGTCTGCACTCCAGCCTGGGTGATGGAGCAACACTCTGAGAGCAAGACACTCTCTGTCTGTCTGTCTGTCTCTCTCTTGCGCTCTCTCTCTCTCTCTCTATATATATATACACACACACACAGACATGCACACACATATATGTATGTATGTGTATATATGTGTGTGTGTGTGTATATATATATACATATCAGATTTTTATATCTATTTCTAAATAAAACTCTTGTTACATAGGTACCCATGAGAGCCTGAAAGAATTCCTGTCACCCATTCTCCATAGTGACAGTCATCTATAAAAAACAACTTCGGTTAACCATGAGGATTTGAGAAAATGTAATTGAACAGAAGTTGATATTGATCACCCCAAAACCAGGGGGTGTCCCTAAAGCCAAATGAAGAACAATAATGTAGCAACAAACCATTTTTTTAAGCCACTTGGACAAGGTCCATTTGAGGTGTTTGCCTCATGCCTCACTTATGGGAGGAGCGGCAGGCTGGGGTATGGGTAAGCTCCAGGGCCCTGGCAGCAGCCTACTGAGCAGTTGTTTCTACAAGTATCATAATGAGCTAACAGCAAACCTCTGGCTTCTCCATGAGGTCATTGTCGGGGGTTGGAGGTTTCTGGTAGATGATGCATGTTGTCATCAACAGGTGTTTGTCTATTGAATGAGTTTATTCATTCTCTCTGATTTGGTGTTAACTTTGACTCTCCTAACATCTTTGTTTCTTATGCTTCACCAGAAGAGGAGAGTAAGGCTGGCACAATCTTGGTGGCCAGCTCTATATCTTAGATCCGTTGCTTTCTATGTCTCATGATTTAAGACTTATGACATTGACCTACACTGACATCTGCATACTATTCTCTGCTGCTTCTGTAACCTGCTTCTACCTTGTTAGACGTGTCTGCCTCTGAAACACATTTTTCTTTTCCACTTCATCCTTCTGCTCTCTCCAGCCCCATTGTCCTTTGTGTCAGATTCATATTCATGATCCACGGTTAGACAACACAACTTCCTGCTTCCTCATGCTGTCTGTCCCATGTTAGCCACACAGCCAGCATTTCCTGCCGGAAACCTCATCAGGACGAGGCACAATTACACTGCAGTTTCTCTTGGCTCCTTTACTCTTTATCCTTAATTCAGTGTTTTCTCAAAGCGTGGTACCCTGACCAGCAAAAGGAGCACTAACATCACCCAAGGACTTATTAGATGTGCACATTCTTGGGTCTCACCCAGAAACTACTGGGTCAGAAGCTCTGGGGGTGAAGCCCAGCAATCTGTTTTTTAATAGCCTCCAGCGGGTTGCTATGCCAGCTACAGTTTGAGAACCACTGTCTTAACCCATGTCTCATCCTGCCTTCTTTCTTCCTGCTGTTTGCATTTTACTAATTCTAATAGGAAGCAGCTCATGATTGGAGGTTATTGTGTACCATTTTTCAAAGCCATTATCACAGATGACTTTAGAAGTTCATGTAAAACATCAGCATAATTTCCAACACTCAGTGAACACTGTCTCATCCACACTAACAAGATGGTGATGACCTAGCTAGATGGGGATACAGATAATGCCTAAGCCTCACCTTAGTGAGGCAAGTTACGTTCTTCCTGGGGAGAATTTTTTAATAATGTGAATTTTTTAATGCTGGTAAAGATGCTAATAAACATTATCAATTGGCTGGGTGCAGTGGCTCCCACCTGTAATCCCAGCACTTTGGGAGGCCGAGGTGGGTGGATCACTTGAGTCAAGGAGTTCCACATGAGGCTGGGCAACATGGCAAAACCCTGTCTCTACAAAAAATATAAAAATTAGTGGGGCATGGTGGTGTGGGCCTG